>NC_000003.12:82131212-82434242 GCF_000001405.40 Homo sapiens | reverse complement strand
ATCTTCAACAAACCTGACAAAAACAAGCCATGGGGAAAGGACTCCTTAGTCAATAAATGGTGCTGGGAGAACTGGCTAGCCATATGCATAAGATTGAAACTCAACCCCTTCCTTACACCATATACAAAGATAAACTCAAGGTGGATTAAATACTTAAATGTAAAACCCAAAACTATGAAAACTCTGGAAGACAACATAGGTAATACAATTCTGGACATAGGAATAGACAAAAATTTCATGACAAAGATGCCAAAAACAATTGCAACAAAACCAAAAATTGACAAATGGGATCTACTTAAACTGAAGAGCTTCTGCATAACAAAGAAACTATCAAGAGAGTAAATAGACAACCTACAGAATGGGAGAACATTTTTGCAATCTATGCAGCTGACAAAGCTCTAATATGCAGTATCTATAAGGAACTTAAACAAATTTATAAGAAAAAAAACTCCATAAAGAAGTGGGCAAAGGGTATGGTTATCATTTTTATGGAATATCTTTTTCATCCTTTCACTTTCAGTCTATATATGTCTTGTATCTATGGTGTGTGTCTTTTTTTTTCTTTTTCTTTCTTTTCTTGAGATAGAGCCTTGCTTTTGTCGCTCAGGCTGGAGTGCAATGGTGTGATCTTGGCTCACTGCAACCTCCACCTGCCAGGTTCAAGCAATTCTCCTGCCTTAGCCTCCTGAGTAGCTGAGATTATAGGCACCCACCACCACACCTGGCTAATATTTTTGTATTTTTAGTAGAGATAGGGTTTCATCATGTTGGCCAGGCTGGTCTGAAACTACTGACCTCAGGTGATCCACCTGCCTCAGCCTCCCAAAGTGTTGGCATTACAGGTGTGAGCCAAACCGCCTGGCCTAAGGTGAGTATCTTGTAGATAGCATATAGTAGGATCTTTTTTTCTTCATCCACTCAACTACTCTAGTCTTTTGATTGAGAGTTTAATCAATTTACATTTAAAGTAATTACCAATTGGTAATTACTTTACTTACTTTTACTTAATTTTTGAATAACAGTTTTGTCAGATACAGTATTCAGGGTAGACTTTTTTTTTTCTTTCAGCACTTTAAATATATGATATAAGCCCTTTCTGGCCTATAAAGTTTTTATTGAGAAATCTGCTTATAATCTTATGGAACCTTTTTTGTATGGACCAAGTTGCTTGTCTCTTGCTACTTTCAGTATTTTCCCTTTGCTTTTTACTTTTGAAAGGTTGATTATAATGTGTCTCAGTGTGGGTTGTTTGCGTTTGTCTTAGTTACAATTATTCAAGCTTCTTGAATTTTGATGTCCATTTCCCTTTTCAGAGTTGGTAAAGTTTTGGCTATTATGTCATCAAATAAGCTCTCTGTTAATTTCTCTCTGCTCCTTCTGTAATTACCATAGTACATATATTGCTTGGCTTGTTTGTGTCCCGTAAGTCCTTTTGGCTTTCTTCAGTTTTCTTTATTTTCTTTTGTTTTTGCACCTCTGACTCAATAATTTCAAATTACCTGCCTTTGAGTTCACTAATTCTTTCTTCTGCTTGATCAAGTTTGCTGTTGATCTCTTCCAGTAAAAATTTCCATTTGATTATTATATTCTTTGGTTTTAGAATTTGTTTAGTTCTTTACTTAAAGTTTCTAGTATCATCTGAATGTTTGTATATCCTCAAAATTTGTATATTGAAGTCCTAACCCCAGTGTGATGGCATTGGAGGTGGGGGTGGTTTGGGAGGTGATTATACCATGAAGGTAAAATCCTTGTCATTGGAATCATTGCCTCTATAAAAGAGACTATAGAGAGCTAGCTATCCCCTTTCTCCGTGTGAGAACACAGCTAGAGGGCATCAGCTCTAAGGAAGTGAGCCCTCACCAGACACCACTGATGCCTTGATCTTGGAATTTCCAGCCTCCAGAGTTATGAGAAATAAATTTCTGTTGTTTATAAGATACCTAGTCAATGGTATTTTGTTATAGAGGCCCACATAAATTAAGACAGTTTCTATCTCCTTATTGATATTCATTTTTATTTGTGCCTTTGTTCTCTGATATCGTGTAGTTTTCTATCTGTATTCTCTTTTAGATCACTGAGACATCATTTTAAATGCTTTGTCAGGTAATCTATTTCTCTGGAATTGGTTTTGGAGTTTTGCTTTTTGCCTGTGTGATCAGGTTCCTCTGGTTTTTATGTGTTAGTTGGTTGGTTGGATTTTGTTTTCGTTTTTGCCTTGTGATTTTTGTTTTTGCTGTATTTTATGCATTTGAAGATAACAGCCATATCTCCCAGTCTTTATGGATTGGCGTCATACAGTATAAAACCTTCAACAATTATTTGGCTAGAGATTCTGGGGAGTTCTGAAAACTTTTTTGAGCGATGTGCCTTCTCTGAGCTTGTGCCTGTAATTTTCTGCTTACAGAGAGAATCTTTTTCAAGGGCTCATAATCTCTTATTCCATCTGGTATCTGTCTGCAAGACTTTAATTCCTCTGGTGCTATGGTTCCAAGCTACCCTGCTCTCCTTTGTTTTCAGAGCCCTACAGGTTTCCAAATTATGCTAGAATCTTATCAGTGCACAAATCAGGTGAGACATATCAGTTCCTTGAGCAGCTCTCTAAAGTACTGGAACATCAAATGCATGTTCCACTCTTCTCCCTCCCTCCTGTGAGAGAACCCAAGAGTCTTGAGATTTCCCCCAATCATAACAAGCCATGTTGGCTTCCTTCTGTGGAACTGCAGGCTTCCCTACAACTGCTCTCCCTTGCTTTAGCATCTCCTGGGCATCCAAACTATGTAGGTTTTATTACCATTCTGAGACAGCTGAGACAGACAACAGTTCTTTGGGTTGCCTTTCTAAATGCGGGGACATTGGATACACATTTCACTCTTTGTTTTTTCTGAGGGAAGAGCTGTTTGCTGAGCTGAGCGGTGCTGGCTTGGGAAAGGGGCAATAATCAATAAAGGGAAAAGACTTTTCTTACCCATTTCAATGTGGCTGTTCTCAGCTTTTGGGCTTGCCTGTGGTGCTACAGTCTTTTAACTGGTTTCTGGAGTCTTCATAAGATGTTTTTGTCTCTATATGATTGTTAACTCAGTGTCCTTATGGGGAAATGTGTGCTGAGACTTCCCAATTTGCCATCTTGGCTGATGTCACTCCTCCTACCTGATATACTTTTAAACCTGCAAAACCATTGGTGATACACCAGAGAACACTTTCTGTCACTCATTATATACTCTCCACTCTAATGCCTGGGTAATAGAAATATAGGGAAGTTTATTTTCTTCTCTTTTTTGTATTTTCTCTCTGGATTATTCTTTAATTTTGCAAA
Organism: Homo sapiens; assembly: GCF_000001405.40. Taxonomy (NCBI): domain Eukaryota; kingdom Metazoa; phylum Chordata; class Mammalia; order Primates; family Hominidae; genus Homo; species Homo sapiens. The sequence continues at coordinate 82,430,929 of NC_000003.12, read as the reverse complement.
CAAAATGCTATTATTTTCTATATCTAACATTATATCAGATGTCAAACTGAATTTCTGATCTTCCCCTTCCTCCCAACCAAAAAACAACAAACAACAAAAACCTCCTGCATTCAAAGCATTCCTTTGTAAGTTCACTTATATGTAATTTCATACTTCCAGTTCCACAATTTGGAAAGCTTAAAGCTATTCTTATAACATCTGCTTCATTTACACTCCATATTTTGTCTACTGAGAAATTCTGCTAACTGTAGTTTTAAAATATATCTAGAATACAACCAATTCACATCACCTCCACTGCTACCATCCTGGCCCAAGCAGCATCACCTCTAGCTTTGATTTGGGGAATAAACACCAAACAGTATTCTCTGCAGCTATCCTTGCTCTCCTTAAGACAAAGAAGACATACAGAAAAATCTAATAAATTGGAGCAGGGTCTATAGCTTCTTTACCCCAAATCCTCTATTGATTTGATTCATAGTAATAGTCAAAGTCTTTGCAAAGTTCTGCAAGCCCAACATGATTTAGACATTCTTCCTCTCTTAATTTTTATCTTCCTACACCCTGACCTTCTTCCTCTTCCTGTTCCTTGACCATGCCAGCGCATATCCCCTGTCAGAAATTTTATTCTATCTGTTCTCTCTGCTGAGATGTTCTTCTCTCATATAACTCATTGGTTAACTCCCTTACCTCCTTCAAATCTTTATGTACATCTCACCTTCTCAAGGAGTCTGATACATATCATCCTGTTATATGCAAACTCTTCTCTACTCAGGACTCCTAACCTGTATTTACTTGATCTACGTTTTCTTCATTTCACAGTTAAACATAATCAACTTATAATATTGGCACAAATGAAAAGATGAAATGGCACATTTTTTATGTAATCCTACAGTAAACTTTGGATTTAATTGCATTATTTTAAAATCAGATTGCAATTGTTAATGGTCTTTTTTCTTATTAACAATAAATTTGTTCAGAATAATTTTGTGCATCACACCTAATAATGAGAAGCATACCTGGATCTGCTGCAGAAGAGCATGTGCATGAACCAATCAGAAAAGATATAATCTTTAAAAAATCAAGTAACTGGCTGGGCACGGTAGCTCACACCTGTAATCCCAGCACTTTGGGAAGCCGCAGTGGGTGGATCACAAGACCAGCCTGGCCAATATGGTGAAACCCTGTCTCTACTAAAAATACAAAAATTAGCCAGGCGTGGTGGCATGTGCCTGTAGTCCCAGCTACTCAGGAGGCTGAGGCAGAAGAATGGCTTGAACCCTGGAGGTGGCGGTTGCAGTGAGCCGAGATTGCACCACTGCACTCCATCCTGGGCGACAGAGTGAGACTCTGTCTCAAGGGAAAAAAAAAATCAAGTAACTGATATATTAGTGGCTACAGGGGGAAAGAGCCTCCTGTTATAGAAAAATACCAGTGGATAGCTTACAATATTTTCTCTGTAAATCATTCATACATAAATATTTAAGTTTTTATGTATCTGATAAAATCTTCTAACCAATTATCTATAACTTGAATAGCTGTACCTCACAGATGCTCCCATTCTGATCGCTGTTATAAAGAATTGATGTGTGACATTTTCTAAGATAAAGAAAAGAGGTAGAAGGAAAAGAAAACATCTATGACATTCATTATTTTGATAATTCATCCAACAAATCCACCGAAGTACTTAGTAAGTGACAGATTGTGGGATTGGAACTGGAACTACTGAAACAAATGACATTACCTGTTCAACTAGGGAGCTCATGTGTGAGCAGGGGAGAGACCTATGCAAAACTGGTCTTAAAGTAGGAAAGCATTCTTTTACTCAAGTCCGTGTGAAGAGACTACAAAACAGGCTTTGTGTGAGCAACAAGGCTGTTAATTTCACCTGGGTGCAGGCGGGCTGAGTCTGAAAAGAGAGTCTCGTTTTACAGGATTTGGGTAGGTAAAGGAAAACGACAGTCAAAGGGGTTTGTTCTGGCGGGCAGGGGCGGGGTCACAAGGTACTCAGTGGGGGAGCTTTTGAGCCAGGATGAGCCAGAAGAAGGAATTTCACAAGGTAATGTCATCAGTTAAGGCAGGAACCGGCCACCTGGATGTGTACATGCAGGTCACATGGGATATGATGGCTTAGCTTGGGCTCAGAGTCCTGACACATTCTATGTCAAGAATATGACTAAAGAGGTAAGGGAGTCAAAAGTGGATAGATGATAGAAAAATGCTTAGGCTTATATGCATTATGCATTTTAAATCTTCCCAACAAGATCTCAGGTACAGCAATAATTATCAATATCTATGTGTGTCCTCTATCATAATCATCTCTTTTTCCCCTTAGGTTAGGGTGATTGAGTATATACTAGTTTATTTTTACTATCTCATAACTATTAAAGAGAATGAATGTCATTTACTCAACAAAAGAGGTATTAATCACAGTAGAAGAGGGTATTAATCCTACCTAGGAAGAAAATGCAGGATGAAATGTCCAGTGTTGTTAACTAAAAAATCAATAGAACTCTCATCTAGAGTTGTGGGACTTTGGCTATTTGTGTGACTGTGTGTGGTTTCCATAGCCTGAATACTTTGCTGAGCCCTGAGTGCCACATATTTAAGATGACAACCCTGTATTTACTCTGTCAAAAATTTCAGGTTCAATATCTGGTTTACTTAGTAGCTTCATATTACTGCTAGTGTGATATGATGGGTAACTCAAAATGGCATATGGTAGAACATTTATGCTTTCTTAGGAGTATCTGTAAAATATGATTTATTAGAGTATATTGTGGAAAATATGGAAAGGGGGGATTTCATTTGACAGATTATTTTAAAGAAACCAAATTTATTTATTTTGAACACTATCTATAGTTGATAACTTCTCATAATTGAGTTTAAGAACAAAAACAAAAATATATCAAGTTTACCAGTAAAGAAAAAAATAAAATAATTTCTTTTGAAAGGCAGGCTGCTGTAACTTCAAAAATTTATTCTTGTAAAACAATAGAGGCAATAACACCGTGTCTGTCCTCCAACTTTCAGAGCCGAGTTCTCTAATATCTGATTTAAGTTTTATCTCTCAAATTATCTGATCTCAAATAAACTTTAACATAGACTAAAAAAAGGAATTCTTCTTTTTCTTCCGTCTTTTTTTCATGACCTTTAAACTAAGAATGCAAATAAGATTTCAGAGGCAACCCATTGCGTGGTAATCAGCATATGGATTCCAATTCAATTGCTAATGTTCCCATAATGTGAATAATTTTTAAAAGAAATATTAAAGTACTAATTATTCAAAAATGTGACACATAAATCACTAATTATAAAACAAAGAGGCCATTGCATGTGTCATGGTCTCCTAGCCTTTTGATTATGGTTTAGAACCAGTATGTTAAATTCAGAAAGATCTACATTTTCCAGGGAGGTTTCTAATGGCTTTAAATGATCATTGGAGCTTTATACAAGCTTTTTGTTTCAAATTAGCAATTAAAACTTCCCAATTATGTCATCAGCATGCAGCCCACCTATATATTCAGAACATTTTCTATCCTAGATATGACAAGAGACAAAAGTAAAAAAAAATTCAAATCAAAAAGGGTCAGAAGAGCTTTAATGGAGAGTTCTCACAGCATATTAAACCCTGTCCTTAACAAAGATTTGTTCTACATTTAAATGGGATTTTTTTAAAGCTTGCATTTGATATTAAAATAACATTTCAATAGTTCTCTGCAAAAAAAGTTAATGCCTTTTAATTTCTAAAAAATATTATTTAGCAAAAAATCTATAGGACTTCAGCACCAAAATTTTTTCTTGATTTATTTTTGTTATTTTCCCCCTCTATGAATAGTGTATCATCTTTAAACTTTATGCTACTAATAACATTGATTACTCTTATGCTACTAATAACATTTAGATTAAACCTTACGCTACTAATAACGCTACTAATAACATTGCTATATATTAAAGTGAATAATTTACAATTTATGACTGTTCTATGCATACAAGCGCCTAACAAAATCTCCTTCTTGTCTCTATATGATTCTATCATATATGATCAAATAGATGATCATATATGATTGAATCATATATGTATATGATTAAAATTAAAAAGTAATACTTGCTTCTTAAAACACCTTTATATTTGTTACTTATTCATATAGGCTTATGACAATATGAAAGTTTTCTACTTTTTTTGATAATTTCATAAATACATGTATTCATCTGCATTCAACAATTATAATCCATTATATATTGAAACTTTTTAAAACACATTTCAACACAAGATAAGTTTGCTTAATAACTGCAAAAGGTTAGTCTTATTATTTTTATTAATATAGTGACTAAAATAACAATAGACTCATCTTAGACGTGATTGAGTTTTCAAAGGAGCACAAAAAGTAGATACTGAAAATTTAAAGTAAATATAAGTTTATCATTCTACTTTGTTACATTTATCTAAGTGTATATTTCTACCTAGTTCTGCCACCCAAGAAAAAATGTCATGAGTTGTAGGTAAAAGATCATCTTGCTTTCTTCTCCAGACAAAAATTTCTTAAAGAGCCATTTAGCATAAATTAACTTGCTGTAATTGAGTGAGATGGATATAACAGAAAGAATTTGCCTGTAAAACCTAATAAAATCAATAAAATAAAAATAAAATTCTTGAGACTAATGATCTGGAAAATATTTTGTTTGAATAAGATAATTATTTCAGCTTCGTTCCTCCTTATATATTTTATTGTTTTCTAGTTAATGTTTTTCTTACTGAAGACATTTTATCTAGGTATGGTAGTATTATCTGAATGGTGGAAAGAGGAGGGTCACAAATGTGATCATTTGAAACAAAAATAAGTGTAGTGTTGTCAAGTGAAGGTGTTCCATTTTGACTAAGTAAGTAAATAGTAAGACATTTTAGAAAGCTTCATAGTCAAAGATTTCCACAGTAGTTAATTATTATGACACATTTTTTAGCATGGAACTCAAACATCTGTGCAAGTATTCTGTAGAGTAGTACTCCAAGTCAGCAACCATTGTGGGAAGGGAAGTAAGGCTTAATTCTATACCACTTCCTATCAAATGTTTAAATAATTCTTTTACTTTATACTTTATTAGTTTAACTTTACCTCCTTTTACTTTGAAATAGCTTCCTTCTAAATTAATTCTTGTCCATATATGCCTTGAACATGCAAAGTATGAATTTATATACAATTTCCAACCTATTACTTTAGTCATATAGCCAACAGCCGTATAATACATCCCTAATACTTGAGCTAGAAACTCTCCTAGGTAGTAAAGGCATGACCTTGCTACAAGATCTTACATTTTTGCAAGTGATTGACAACACATAAGGAAATAAAGACAGTATAGCATATACGTTAAAATATACAGAGACAAAAGAAAGTAAATCAGGAAAAGTGGATAGAGAATAACAACAGCAGTGGGAAGATTTGAACTGTTCTAAGATTAAAGAAAACCTCTTTTAGGAGATGGCATTGGGCCAGAAATGAAATCAAGTAAGAAATAAAATTGAAGAAAAATATAAAAAATTAAAATAAAACAGAAAAAATGGGAAAAAAGAATTCTAAGAAAAACAAAAATCAAAGACGAAAAACAAAAATCAAAGACAAAAAACAAAAGCTTTTAACTTAGCATCTTTGAGAAACAGAAGGAAGAATAGAGATAGATGAAAGAGGAGTGGGCAAGGGCATAAGAAGGGAGTCATTAGTTCAGAAATGTTCAGAAGATTGGATTCAGGTAGGGAAATAAGAGCAAATATATTCAGGAATTTGAATAGGAAAGTGACGTGTTGTTGTTGTTGTTGTCGTTGTTTAAGTTCTGGCCAGGTTAAATTTAAATTATCCATTAGTTATCCAAGCGATATATTAAGAGTCAGAAAATCTCAGTCTTGTAAGAGTTTCATAAATCGGAATCTAAGTAGTTTAAATAAAATTAAATGAGTTGCAAAAAAACAAAAGAGCATTGTATTGCATTAGAGCAGAAAGTTTTACAAATTTGAAGTACACTTATTTTGCTCTACTCCCAAATGACCCTGTAGGTCTTGGGAATTCTTAGTATCCTCATTGATATCACAATCACGAATGGGTTTTTAACATTGTGATTTCATCATTTCGTTTTGCAGCCTTTTAAAGTAATTAATGTTGTGTCATTTTATGAAATAATTCTCTTCTTTCTGTATAGCCAGCTTAAAGTAGTATTGTATTTATCTGAGAGTTATCTACTTAGAATATTTTCTCTTCTAAGTGAATGTGAAAGACATCTGTTTTCATAGTCTACTTTTCTCATTTTGAAATATGATGTGTAATTTTCCCCAAAGTGAGAAATGTTTTTCTCTTGTATAAAAAAGAGAATTCTGTAAACAATAACAGTGTTTTGTAATATAATTTATTAGTATATTGCTGGCCATTTCCACTCTTCTTTTGAAAATGAGGTCAAGTCAAATTTTATTAAAATTGAGTAAGTACAAAATGCTATTCTTTATTATAGATCTTACAGTAAAAGTGCTAAATAAGTGAAATGTGCCATTGTATTCACAAAGACAATGTGGTGATCCAGAAAAACTGTGTTCCCTTTTTAGCCAATCTCTATTTACATCTTTACACTGTGTGCTAATACACACACACACACAAACACACACACATTTTTTTTTCTAAATAAGAACATTGGTGAGAAAACTCTAAAAATCAAATCTAGGATGATTTTTTGTTTTGTATATTGCAAGATATATGACGTTGGGCAAGTGATGTAACCTCTGTGAGATTTATTTGCATAATGGAATGATGAAACACAATGTATGCCTGCACTATTGCAACACAATTAACAATTAAACAACTCAAAAGAATAAAATATTGATGAGATTATGCACAGTGTGAGAGATAATTCATTAAGTTATTCAGTATATAATATTGAGTATTTCTAATATTCCAGTGCATAGTTTAGGCATCTAATTCTAGCAAAGAACAAATGACACAAAGGGTCTGCCTCATGGTCCTTGTATTCTAGTGGGAGGAAACAAACAAAAGAAGAAATAAGCAATATGTCAGATGGTGATGAATGTCAGGAGAGAAAATAAAGTATGAGAAGGGAGAAGGGCAGCATGGGACAGTTGGTTGATATTTCAAGTTTAACAGTGCAGTCTGGAAAGCCTCACAGGTAAGACAACTTGTGAGAGAGACCTGATAGAAGTGAGGGAATAAACCATGCAAAGCCTCCTGAAGGGGGGAGCACATTTACAATTCAAAGGAACACAGCAGAAACCAGGGAAGCTAGGAAAAAGCCAGTGAGGATACAGTGGTGGGAGATGAAGCTGGGGCTACAGAAAATACAAGGCACTGATAAGTTTATTGTGAAGACTTGTGCTTTAACTCTGAATGAATCGGTAATCAATATGAGGGTTAGAGAAGGTGTGACCTGGTCTCTCTTTCATTTCTAAAGAAGCTCTCTGGCATCTGTATGAAAAATGGATTCCACAGGGTCAAGTGCAAAGGCAGGAGAGCAGATTATCCAAGGCATTGCTAGCTGACTCATACGACTTAGAAAATGATTTTAAACAATGAAAGTCAATTATGTGATGCAACAACTACTGTATAAAAATCATGTTTTTTCCTACAATAATTAAGTAAACATTGGTACTGGTGTAAGAATAGACAAATTCAGTATAGAGAGTATAAAAATAGACATATATATATTTAATTGATTTTAGGAAAAGGCACCAATTCCATAGGGATGGGAAAGAATTTTTGAAAACATTTTTGGAACAGCTGAATATCCATATATTAAGAAACAGAGCAAAACAAAACAAAGCCATGGTGATTATCTCACTTCATGTACAAGTTGAGATGCGGCATAAACCTAAATAAGCACAACTCAAAATCTTAAAGCTTTTAGAAAGAATTGTAACACCGCTACCCACCAGTCTCTCCTGTTCTTGCATGTTTTAGGATCAGAGGCACTGAAAATCTGTTGTTTCAAACCGTCTTTTAAAAAATATTTGTATAATAGGCTGGGCATGGTGGCTCATACCTGTAATCCCAGGAACTTTAGGATGCCGAGGCAGGTGGATCACTTGAGGTCAGGAGTTTGAGACTAGCCTGGCCAACATAGTGAAAGCCCGTCTCCAGTAAAAATACAAGAATTGGCTGGGCGTGGTGGCACATGCCTGTAATCCCAGCTACTCAAGAGGCTGAGGCAGAAGAATCACTTGAACCCAGGAGGTGGAGTTTGCAGTGAGCCACGATGGCACCACTGCACTCCAGCCTGGGTGACAGAGTAAGACTCTGCCTCAAAAAACAATAAATAAATAAAAATAAAAAAAGAATAACAATTTATACATATATATGTATAAATTAGAGTAGGAATATTAAGTACAAAACTGAGAAGGGTTGAAGGGTCTTTGATAGTAAATATATATATATACATTATTTTATTTATATATATTTATTTTATTTTATTTTTTATTTTATTTATATACATTTTATTTATATATATATATAAAATAGTTTTGGAAGATAGAGGTAATGTTGCTCCCCAGAAAGGGTGAGTTTGCTTATAGCCTTGGAAGATGAAGATAGTGCCTCCTTATGGAACAAATCTATGCTTACTGCCTAGCACAGTAAAAAGAATGTCTTTCTCCAGATCAAAGGGCTGGCAAGCTTAGTGCCTATTATAAAAGATTCAAATGTTCTATGCTCAGTGTTTTTCTCCAGTAACTCAACCTACTGAACATGAAACACTAATCTTGGTCCATCCATATCAATCACATGGGACTTGAGGTGAAAGAACTTTGAGAAAAATATGTGGATGGTCATATGCTGTTTGTTATTCCTTGACATAAAGTCCTTTTAGTCTGACGTCCTAATACTGGGTATTCTAATAGCATTCATGAAACTGTAATGATCAAATATTACTTTGTAAGTAGAGTAAAACCTCAGAGCCTTCACACTTCTTGAAACAGAATACTTTTGTAGGCTCAGAGTAGGTAAAAATAAATAAATAAACAAACAAATAAATAAATAAATAAATAAAAATTAAAAAAAAAAATCCCCAGTCAGGATAAAAAAAAAAACCCCACAAACAATAAGAGACAAAAATGATTGATGAATTGGGCTTCTTTAATATTAAAAATGTCTTCTCATCAAAAAATACTATTAAAAATTATTAAATAAGCCACAGATAAAAAATATTCACAGAATATATATCTCACAAAGGACTAGTGTTCAAAATAGATCAGGAAATTATAAAAATCATCAATAAATTACCTAACTTTTTAAAGGAAAAAGTGAACACATGTACACAGAATAAAATACACAAATGGCCAGAAAGCACATGAAAACCTGCTATTATTAGCTAATGGAAAATGCCAGTTAAACTACAATCATATTACATTTCAGCCACCATAATGGGAAACAAAACCAAACCTAAGGACACTAAATGTTGGAGCAGATATGGAAGCACCAGGACCCGATCTTTCATCCACCGCAGATGAGACTGTAAAACAGTACATCCCATTTGGAGAACTGTTCTGGGAGTTTCTTATATACAGTTAATTATTCCAATCCTATTTATTCAATAAAAATACAAGTGTATATTCACAAAAATATTTGTATCATAATGTTTATAACATCTTTATTCATAGACGAAAACTGAAAACAAACCAAATGTTCATCAGCGGGAAACTGGACAAACATATTGTGGCTTGCCCATGTGATGGAATACTGGTGGTCAAGCTGAATACTTACAATATGTGTAGTTTAAATTATGTTAACTGTATTTTAATAAAAATTCCCAATTATTAAAAAATAAGATGACAAAAGAATATTTCTATGAAATAAATATAAGCACGTTGTATAACCTCACTAAGCCTCAGTTTCTCCAAGTAAAATAAAGAACATAATAAAATATATCTAAAATGCAAGTCTCATTTTACTGTATATTTTGATAAGGAATTATTTGTTTTTTAAGGAAGAGGAATATATTCAAACTAATTTTGGAATGAAACTAATTATGAAACGTACAAAGCAAGGAATGCTCTATGAGTTCACAAAAAACTAACACAGGAAATGAAACTTAAATGGTGTCAAAAAAAACTCTCTCACTCTCCTTCTACTTTCCTTTTTATTATCTCTGCTTAATTTTCTTTTTCCCTCTGTAATCTGACTCTTGCAATCTACTTTCCCGTAGACCAGAAGGGCTGCCCCAAATTGATGCCATTGGGTACTAAGCTGACAAAAAGTAACAAACTCTACACTTATACTTGATTGTCACAGTCTCATCATGAGCCAGTATGCAGCAAAAAGAAAATTATTAGACCAACTCACACTTTCAATATCATATGTTCACTTCTGGCCCAATCAATTGAATTCACAAAAAGCAAGGCTGTATACCTAGAGAGAGACATGCACAATAATTCCAGCTGTGAAGCAACAGAGAGAATGGAAAGCTTTTTAGAGAGCCCAAATTTATAAATAAAAGAAACAACAATACTTACTAATAAGAATAATGCAAAATTTATTTTTAATTATACAAATATTCATTTTAATTACATGTAAATTAATTGTATACATATTTCATGGTTTTTATATTTAATTATATGTACCTGTTTGGTGCTGATACCCCAAAGTTATAATAAAAATAATAATGATACAATAGAAGCAGAGAATTACATTTTACTTACATGTGAAACTAGTTCTTGAGTCTGAGCGCTGGGCTCCATTTGTTTGTTTGATTGCTTATACAAACAAACAGATGTTCATTAGCTGCTAAAGAGTACAGATTCATGGGAAATATTCTTTGTTATCCAAAATGTAATTTCTAGTAGCACACTTCTAGCTTACTGGTTAGCAAATTATTAAAAATTAATAAAAGCTAAACCCAATATTTTCCTTATGGCACCCAAGAAAGTCGTTACATAAAAATAAAAATCACGGCACTTTTTACCTAAGCCCAAACTTAATAATTCAAGAGATAGGCAGTGAAGGATTCTCATTACACATTAGTTTTTAGTCGTTTTAAACTCCTGTAAGAGCTTTCTCTATTGTCCCTAAAGCAAATGATGTCTAAAATAAGATATAAAACTATTAATATTTTTTGCAGAGTTTATAATTTATCCTCAAGAATAAAAAACACAATTTCTGTTCTTCTTGAAACCAAATATACTTATTTAAGCCACCACTCCAAATGAAATGAAGTCTATTTATTTTTGTGTGCAAATGAAACAACTGTTTCTACTAAAAGTGAGATTGCATATCAAATAACAATAGAAAATAGATTAAAAAATCATATCTCCTGTGTTCAAATGATAAAGATGATGTGCCTTGCTTTGTACCCTCTACCAATAATCTTCAGAAGCAATTTGTGGATAATGCCGTATCAACTCCATGACAGTTGCAATGAGGTTAATGCAAAATTGAAAAAGTGACTTACAACTTTCAGTTAAAAATCTTAGTTAAATATAGAAGCTAACATATATTAACCTAATTTATCTCCGTTTTATTTGATCTGAAAATTTCTATGTATTATAATCAATTTATATGAGAATATGAACTAATAGGAATGAAATTATTATTTAGAGACAAAAATAGTACTGCTTGATTTAGAAGAAATTTTCGCAGTCCTCTGGTTCAAATACGTTTTGAATATTTAAATACTGAACATGTTATCTCCATCATTCAAATGTTTCCAGTATTTGAAAAGTGACCACCTCCTGAAGAGCTGTATTTCCACAATGCTCTGGAGTCATGCTTAGGGCACCAACAAAAGAATGTCACAAAATTCGATAATGAAAAAAGTTTTTGATAATGTTTTCTGAAATAATTTGAAGTGTTGATGTGTCAAAAATAGTATTAACAATAATAGGAACCATAATTTTTCTAGTCTTTTTAATACATCTTTTATGTTTCATTGATGTTATATTTTAAATTAATTATGAGAGATGTGGCTCCATAAAGCGCTTTGAGCCCCCGAGTTCAGTGCGTGGGTTTATTTGCTGCCCCGTAATTTTCCATTCTTCATATTAAATATTTCTGCCTCCTTTAATATTCAGCATACAGCACTACTAAAAGCCCAGACAAGGCACTAGCTACTCTTCCCTGACTATACACCAGTTGATATTTTTGCCTCTTAAACTGTCATGCAACAAAACTGAACATAATTCCCCTTGTGGTCTAACAACAGATTGTGTGAACAGAGTGGAATTATCACTCTCCACCGATTATTACTAATAACGAAGTCTAAGATTATATCATTTTGACAACCAGATCTCACTGCTGTCTCACGTTTATTTCAGTCAGAAAGCCTCTAACTGTACTTATATGTATATATGCTGGCCTCTCACATATTCTGTTGTGCAGATGGAGTTTTTGGACACAAGTTTGATATTAAATTTATTTCTATTAAACTTCCTTTTGTTTGAGTCAATCCTCCAGCCCATCTCTGACATGTTTTTGATTACTGATTCTTCTATTAAACCTACCTTCTATGACTTGGAAACAAAAATCCACTTTATAAACAACCTTTACAAAAAACTATCCACTATTTAATCAATGTGCATTTGGAAATGAATTCCCATAGTTTTAAAATTTGAAGTTCTCTCTCAACTGTTTGTTCCTTATTACTTAGAACCCAAAATTTCCATCTCCATAAGATAGGGGAGAAGTTAAAAAGAGAAGATATATTGCCAATCCTATGGCCATGCCTCTCTGCTAAATAATTTAAGATGTCACAAAAGCCTTTTTAACTGGAAAATAAAAACACTGGAATAAGAAACAAATGAATCAGGTGGAAAACATTACCTTTATAATACAATGAAAATAAACTAGAACAAAAATATAAATTAATTAGTTTTAGCTACATTTGGGGTCAAATAGCTCTTTGTGTATTATCTTACAGATAAAATACCATTTAATGCATTTTTTAAAAAAGCATATATGTTAGTTTTTAAATCGCTTTTGGGTTATAACATTTTTAATGTGAGGATCATAGGTAAGTATACAATAAGGTAGTATATTTCAGTGTCACTACTACTTTTTTTTTTTTTTTTTTTGAGACAGGGTCTCACATTGTAGCCCAGACTGGAGGGCAGTGGCATGATCTCCACTCACTGCAACCTTCGCCTCCCGGGTTCCAGTGGTTCTCCTGCCTCAGCCTCCCAGGTAGCTGGGACTACAGGCATGCACCACCATGACCGGCTAATTTTTGTATTTTTTGTGGTGATGGGGTTTCACCATGTTGGCCAGGCTGGTCTCAAACTCCTGACCTCAAGTGATCTGCCAGCCTCAGCCTCCCGAGACTACTTTTTAATTACACAACTATGGCAGGATTTAGTAGTAGCTTTTCTCTATGTAATTTCTTTACACCTGGATTTTTTGCCTGATCTTACATTTTCTTCCCATACCTGTAGTTCTCGCATCTGTTTGTTTTTTGAAAATTCTATCTCCAGAATTTGGACCTCCTTGTAAAATAATGTTGAATTTTCTTTGCATTAACATCACTTGGATGTTTAATGTGACCTTCTACTGTTAGAATATGTTTCGTATTCAACATAAATCATTGTGATCGTTTCAGTTTCTAGAAATATCCCTTTACTTTTCTTTTCTTTTCTTTATTTTTTTTTTTTTTACAACTGGGTTCCATTTGTTGCTTTAAAAAAAAAAATGCTTGTAATGAATCTAATTTTCCTCCAAGGAAAGAAAATTTTTTCTTGGTACCATTCATTTTGTACAACCAAGGAAGAGTCGCTGTTTTAAGTGACCTCCTGGCATGTTTGCTCAAGGGTCCAGGAAGTGCCTGCTCTCTGTGGACACTGGGGCAAGATGCTCTCTTCTGTGTAGAGCTGCCTGAATTGACTGATGCTAAAGTCAAGCTCTGTTAAACAGAGCACTTCCTTTCTGTGAAAAGATTTCTCTTTCAGATCTCCTGCTTCCTCTTCTGGGGAGGCTCATTCTCTGATCTGCACTTGAATATGTGTTGACCTACAGGTCTCTTAGGTGGATCAACCTCCATTCTCTGTTAGTTTTCTTCCAGTGTGATGTTGCTTTTATCACATTTTCAGGAAAAGGCCAGTTTTTCATCTTCCTTTTCTCTGCTGAATGTGTCAGATCCTAAAAATATTTCCCTGAAGCGTTGTTACTGAGACCTCTGGTGTTACCATCTCATCCTGAATGACCACAGAAAGAAAATGTTTCTTTTTGTCTACAAGAGTTGAATTAAGTTATTTTAAAAGCAACACATGAACTTGCTGGAAAATATTATGTCAACTGAGGTAGAAGTAAAACAGAGAGCATGTCATAAATTTCTATGATCAAGGAGAGTAGCATATGGTCCTATAATTGTAGAGAAACAGCCAGAAATAACATCCTCAGGGCATTTAGAAATATAGCAGCAAGAGGGTGTAGAGCAATGTCATGAGAGATTAAAAATACTGATGATATCTGAGGAGACCTGGCAACAAAATCATCTCTCTCCTTTAGAGCTATTTCCATAAATCATTGGGGAAAAGCCATCGATTGCATTGTATTGTATGAAAGATGTGTTTTTGTTTTATGCTTGTTCAAAGTAAAATATTTTCTTTATGCTATGAAAGCCAATACAAGTAGGTTGACCAAAATTAAATAAAACAACAAAAACCTGTTTGCTCTTTTATTTTCTGACTCATTCCTCAATTCTGCTGCTTAAAGAAGCCTTCTTTCTCTGATGAATCTCTCCCCCTTACTTCCTTCATCCAATCAGTCACAACCATTGCCAATTTAATCTTGAAAATGCTTCTGTTCTGTTCCCACTGGCATTCTTTTAGCAAATTACCAATGAACCTGAAAAGGAGAACAAAGAAGATGCATTTAAATGAATCAATAATAATAGTATCAGAAAAAAATGAGAAAATATGGTACAATCTGCTATTGAAATTAGTTTTTAAAGTGAGTATAGGAATAAGAAAAGGATTTACCCGAAGTTTATATTATACAGGGTTAAGATGCCAGATGACAAAAATAGTAGCTAGATTAAGCCTTCTTTTTTTCTTTTGTCTTCTGTCAGGAAGAATATATTCAGCTGGGAATATTCTTTTAAAAGAGAAGTAACAGCTAACCTATGTGAAAGAGAATGAGTGCACCTAGCTTTCTGAAGGTAACGTTTTTAGTCAAAACACACATTAATGTATGGAATTCATACCTAAGTGATGATTTCTCATTAACTTCTGAGGACACTTAGAAAAAAGCAAAAGGATACTCTCCCTAAATAGCCTATCTCAATGAGTAATACTACCTTCCCACTTCCCACCCAGCCTAAGTCAGCAACCTGAACACCATCTACTCATCTAGTTTCCTCTCCAGACTTAGCCAAAAATGATTTGATAAACTTGCCCTGATGATTCTACTTACCAAACACCTTTTACATAAGTTATTTTGTTTTCTTTCAATAGCAACAAACTTATTACTTAAAGATTACAACAGTGTGATACATTTTTATTTAATAGGTATTTATTATATGTCTACTAACATGCCAGCCACTGATATAGTGCTGTACATACAGAAGAGGAAAAAATACTACAAAGTTCTGCGGTGTTATGGAACTTTTAAATAGTTTCTTCAGCCTTGTGTCTTCCAATATAGCCCCCATACTGCAGTCAAAGTGGTCAATGCCCGAATTAGAGCAATGTAGTAGGTTACCCAAGACCATCTAGGAATATGAATACTCAAGATGAAGATTCAAAATCACACTTAAAACTCTACACTCAAAAAAATACAAACAAACAATAAAAACAACTCTAAGTACAAATTTCAGCTCATTTATACCCAATACAGTAAAAATTATGATGATCTTGGTGGAAACTATAATATGTCCCTTGCTAATATCTCCAAATTCATCTTCTGCAAGAATTCTACAAACATCCTATGCTTACATTTTTTTTGAAATATCACAATAAATTCTTCTGACTTTTTATAATCTGCCATATAATTGTCTCTCCTATTATTTCTTGTTAATTCCCAAGACTCTACATAAAGTTATTATTTCTTGATAATTTTTCCCAGTCTACAGCAATTGTTCACTGAGTTAGAATCTCTCCGTATTTGTATAGCTCCATAGACATACATTAATACAAAATATAGTATACCCTATTATAATTTTTATTTGTATAAGCCTGGTCTACAAATGTATAAAGTCTGAATGGTCTGAATGTAGGAATAATGTCCTGTTCACTTGTGTATGCTCATTACCTAAGCCAGTACATAGCATATACTAAGTAGATGTATAATAAATTTTGACTAAATAAATGAGTCAATGGGTATATTCAACCAGTAAACTCTTACTTCATCATTCGTTTATCCTAAAAATTTGACACCTCTTATTAAATCTTCCAAGTTTACTGGGGCCAATTTACTATGATAAATCGTTTACAAATACACTATTTCTCAATGCTTAATTTTAATTTCTAAACACAAAATATCATACTGATTAAATACTTCTTTAGTTCATTTGGTGGTAATAGATACATAGAGTGAAATTATTCACATTAGGAATTAGCAAGATTCTTTAAACCTCTCCAATTTAGTGATGAAATCTCAAAGCCAAAACTTTCTTGTTGCAAATATTAAAAGTTAGTTCTTCTGTCATTAGATGTCACAATTTTAGCATTTACACAACATCTGCCTCAAATTAAAAACTCAAATATATTTTCTTTAAAGTACATGACTGAACCTTGAAGAAACTAAAGAAAATCACAAGATACAATGTATTCTTATTCATTACATCTACAATAAAGAACTCAACTTTTTGGTGAAGTCTCTCATACATTTATTCCAGGTTTGGCTATTCAGATTTTTGCCTTACATTTTCCAAATTATATTTAAAAGTTCCAGATAAAAATGCATTTTAAGACTTCCCAATAAAGCATTATACATCTCATTTGAAAATATCTTCATCAAATACTGTAAATATTGTACTGTGTTAAGAAAGTAGTTTCTGTTTTAACAATTTCAGTTCCTAAGTGTTGCCAGGGAAGTTTATCTAAAAACTAACAGTTATATAATTAATCAGTATTGAAACTTTACTTATTCTGTATCTAGACTGAAAGAGGAGGTATGCAAATTAAAGCACTTTTCTTTGGGAAAAAATATCTATGGAAAATAATACAAATATAATCTTAAAAGAAAACTAAGCTCCAGCATCAGCATAAATAGATATGGTTTTCTTGCTTTTAATGAATGAAAGAAAACATTCATATTGGAGATGCCTGAATTTGGTAGATAATTTATTTTAATAAGATTTAGCAAACACAAACACACACACACACACACAAGTTCCTGATGCCATTTTTAAATTCAGGTTGTTTTTAAAACACGAGTAAACTAAATATACAATGAAGCATATTGCTACCTGACATTTTGGTTCAATAATATTCAGGGGATTTGCCTGAGTTATAGATAATCATAGAGAGCATTAATTTTCAATTATTAAGTTATGAAGTGACAGCATACAATATAGAAACTAACTCCACTCTTTTAGAAGGCGAGGCTGTTCCATTTTAGAAGCATATTAATTTGAACAATCCACAAGGGGCCCAGGTCACCACTGTGAAATGTAATCAGTGCAGTTAAAATAGGATAGCTTGCTCCATTGTAACCTCCCTTCACTTCTTCCTAATAATTACCTGAGGTATTTTGGGGTTGGTACTACATATGGAACTATTTCCTTACCAATTTTTTGTTCTATGTTATATGCTAAAAATCCCGTGGAAATCACAGCAGAAATTTAAATGTAACAGCTACGGAGGGGGAAACATTTATTTTCTTAATTCATAAATAAAAGAAGTGTGTGTTTGTGAGTGTGGGTGAGAGAGGGACAGACAGAGATAAAGAGAGAGAGAGAAAGAAAGAGAGAGAGAGAGAGAGACTTGGTAATATTATGACCATATCCAGAACACTGAATGTTCTCCTTCCCATGAGCAAGGGTGATAGAAGCAGCTAGCAAACAATATTTCATCTTAAGAAACATACAATTTATGTTTTCACTCCCTCCGTTGACTTCTATTTTCTCAGGTCAGGAAAATTTTTCTGATTTTTGTTTAAGTTGAAGGAATATTGTAATGCTGAGTGTAAAAAGCCTCTAAAACTTCAGAGTCAAGCTTTACATTCTGAAGATTGAAATATATTATGTTTGTCTTATAACACAGAGAAAAATAGGATTCTCCAGTCACAATAATAGTTTTCATTGCTACAGTTAAATATTAGGTCTTGCATCTGCCATTTTTCTGATTCCCAGCTTTGTCGCTGTTGTTTTATTTGTAAAATCATTTCATTGCGTTTCACAACACAATTAAAAGAGAAAATCTAGCAACCAAAATCAAGTCTTTACTTTTGGAAGTTTCAATCTCAAGATAATGAAACTGTCTTTGCTCAAATTTTTTCTGTAAAAAAATTCATAATTGCCCTTCTTTACATTTTGAGGTCCACGGAAATTTGTATTAACAAAAGACACAATCGTCCAGGCATGGTGGCTCATGTCTATAATCCCAACACTTTGAGAGGCCAAGGCGGGAGGATCACTTGAGTCCAGATGTTTGAGACCACCATGGGCAACATAGCAAGACCCCATTTCAACAGAAAATTAAAAATTTTTAAAAATGTAGCAGAGTATGGTGATGCATGGCTGAGTCCTAGCTACTCTGGAGGCTGAGATGGTAGAATCACTTGAGCTTGGATGTTTGAAGCTTTAGTAAGTTGTGATAGCACCACTGCACTCTAGCCTGGGTGACCAAGTGAGCAAAAACAAAAACAAATGACACAGAATTGAGAATTGTACAGATTCATATGGACTCAGAATAAACTGAGTAAATTAAACAAACACTGTAGTAAAATTTGGTAAATTTGGTAAATTATGGCAAATGTAACCCATAGATCTCTCATTATTGAGTTGAGTGGTCAAGTGTGTGTGTGTGTTTGTGTGTGTGTGTGTTTCTTACTGTGTTATTTAACAATTATACCCTATTATTTTGAGACAGCTCTGTTTGATATTAGCAAAGAAGATCTGTGTTTTATATCAATGTTTAGCTTGATAGTTTCATTTCTCAAAATGAGAGGGGGGAAATAAAGAATATACAGAAATTGATTTCCAGCCTGGATGCTGCATTTCTCTTTGCTATCTGATTGCATATTAAAGGTTCTGCAGAAAGGGAAAAAGAGAATAAAGAGAGGAAAATATTCAAAAGAAGAAATCATGAAAAGAATGATACTTGAGACCTTGAGAAAACTTTCAATGTCAAAAACAAAAAATTTTCATTCAGAAAATGGGAAAATCAAGTTTAACTTATTAAAAGATTATGTTGCAGATTTAAGTAATTAGTAGAAAATGCACAAAAAAGAAAATGGCAAATATCCTTTCTCTCTGACATCATAACTTTAGTACAGTTAATTTTTTCCGAAAGCCAAAGTAATAATGATACGATATTTACCAGATTAGTATTAGACTGGCAAAATTTGATGAAAAAAATCTATAAAATTTGTCAAAAAAGCCACCAATATTTTAGATTTTAAAGCATACGTTTTCTTCTTACTATCTCACTACTCTTCTGTGTCTCTTTCGAACTCCTTTTCCTCCATTATTTTTCCTTTGAACTTCTCCAATGTTATCCTGATGGCTTACTTCACTTGTATAATCTCCACTTAACCTTTTCTATTGCACATCCGAAATGAAATCAACAACAGTCAATTTGTCCAAGAGAACAAAGGGAAGATGGAGCAGAAAACATGCCAAGGAAATGTGTGTTAAGAATATGGTAATTGAACAGATGTTAAACTACATCAGAAAAGATCAAAATGTATTAATAAATCAACCAAACAGAAATCATACAGACAGAAAGCAAAAAGGTGTTGTTTCAGCTGGGTAAACACGTCTTTTTTCTTATCATTCCTACTATTAAACATATGCAGCTCCTTAAAATGTTTTATGAATTTCCTAAGTGATATATTCAAACTACAACCTGAGTCTCTGCTAACATCTAAAGTGCTAATTAAATGCTAAAGAAAAAAATTATCTCCCAAGCCTATACAGTCAGTGATTTTGATCAACAGACATTATGCCAATTGTTAATATATTCAAATTTTTTTCATACTGGTTGATTTGCATAGTATTGGCCAAAACGCGCAGTTAATAGGCCCTTGCTGAGATGCTGCCAGTGGTTGTTAAGTGCATTAGGGTGACAGGGGCATGAGTGAATACATGTTTTATGTTCCCCACTACTCCAAAGAAGCTCAAATCCACTGGGGGCAGTGGAGCAGGTGAAAAAACATACAGCTTTTTCAGAGGCATTATCAATAGTGGCCCAGGTCTCTCTGGGATGAGTCATTGCAGTAGGTACTGACACAAAGTATGTACCATCCAGGACAGGTGGCAGGGCACCTGGCTGCCCTCTGGCTGCAACAATGTGCCAGGTGCTGGGAAAATCAGAGGGTAAATGTTCTGGAATTCCTTTTCTCAGATTATGTATCAGATAAGGGCAGGTTTTACCTAGTGATGTTCTTTCAAACAATTTTGAAAAATCAAGAAATGATTTGAAAATTATTAGAAGGATTTGATTAATAATTTGCACTACAATATATACTTTTGGTAATCGAATTTATGATATATGAAGTCCGGTTTTTAAAGAGTGCTGTAAAATACGGAAGGCGAGAATCACATGTGGCTATTTAAATATTAATTTAAATGAATTAAGGTTAAATAAAATTAAAATTCAGTCCTCAGTCACACTAGCTACATTTCAAGTGTTCAATAGCCACATGTGGTTCGTGGCTACTATATTGTTCTGTGAAGAAACATCTCCATCATTGTAAACAGCTCTTTCAGCACAGATTTAAGGATTAAAATGGAATATATTATTATTTGTATGTAATAAATTATATATTAATTTATATTATTATCCTGATTGTGAATATTTTAATATATATTTGGCATATAATTAGCAAATCATTGCTAGGCAAGGGTGCCACTTCATTGTGAAGAAATTGATTTTTAAAAAAAAAACTAAGCATTTTCAGAAGTTCTTTTGTTAGGCCATATAAATGTATCTATAGAATATCTACACTCATTAACAGTGCTCAGTGTCTATCTTGAAACACATGGGAAATATTACCACCTTTCTCTCTTTGAAAAAAAGTCCTCAGCACCTCAAAAGCTTTATTTTTTTCACTGTTCATATTATGGCCTCTGCGTTTAAAAAGCTCTTGGCCTTTGCAGTGGTCTGAATTATTAAAAAAAAAAAAACAAAACTTTACAGTTTTTCCACTTGATAAAGCCAGTTAAAGTAGAATATTTCAGCCCACATCCAAAGGCTCCATAGCTATATTACAGAGAATTACAGTATCTGAGATTTTTTTGTTCTAATTTATTGCTACAGATTTGTTTTCTGGTTTCCATTTACATGAATAGCAATATACAAGTACCACTATTTGAAAATTATTATTGTCTTGCATAGATGTTAACAAGTGACATTATTTCCTAAAGAGTAGACACTATTTTTTTCTGATGTTTTCACAATAATCTATTATATCTCAGAGTAAACACAATTATTATCCAGACATTCAGACGTCTATATCCATGACAATTGTTAAAAAAGACAGGCCTTAAGGAGATTACTTAGAGAGTTTAGTATTTCCCCATTCAGTTCCAGGAAGTGGAGAGTACACACAGAAGCCTGTTTTTTTGTTTTTTGTTTTCTGTTTTTGTTTTCTTTTGTGTTGTTTTGTTTTACTTCTGCCAAAGAAAGCTAAAGACGTGAAGTTGTGCTGCTAGCTCCATGCTGAGGAATAAGTCCTGGAGAGGCAGCACATGGGGATAGGTCTGCACCCCATGACTTCATGTGTCAATCAATTCATGAGTGTTCACCAATTGGAGCTAAGCTACACACAATGCCCAGCCACGGGTTCATCTTAGGAACTGTATAATAGGACCAAGCATAGTAGTTATTCAACAGTCAAAAGCTAACATCAATATCAACATTTCTAGGCATCGTTGAAGAAGTAAAACTACCAGTTAATTTAGAGGAACACTTTGTAGATGTAATTAAGAAATCCTCAGTAGGGATGTAGCTATGAAGAATGCCCCTTACCCCTACAAACACAAAAAAGTGTCATTTAGGATAAATTCAGTTTTAAATATCTACCAGACCCAGCAACTATGAAACCATCTGGTAAAGTAAACAAATATGCCATTTTTCTTACTTTTCTTCTGATTCCTAGCTCCTACTCTAAAGAAATAGGAAAGTGTTTATATAAATTTCAGAAAAGGTGAGGAGCATAGAAAGAAACAGGCAACTGTTTTCTTTCCTAGACACCACGGGGCTGCGCATAGCCTTTTCTACATGAGAGGAGAAGGAATAGCTATAACTCTAAGTAAAGCTAGAAACATTACAGGAAACTGAATATTCTAAGAAGGCAGTTGAAATTGTCACTTATAATTTCAAGTTTCTTTTCATTTTTATTAAACAATATGTTTTTTGCTTAAAGATAATAGGAAAAAAACATACAAAATTCATGAGTTTTTACCCAGGGATAATGGGTAAATATCCCACAGTAAATATATTTTAAAGAAACATTGGAAAACAAAGTAGAATTGCTTTTTGATTGAATTTTATGAGACATATTTGTTCCAAATATAAGTTACAATAGGGTTGAATGAAAGATAGAAGGTGGCCTTTCTGATGTGTAGTATTCTATATTTCAATATTGTCAACATCTAAAACAATGCTAGGTTATAACAATGATAATAAAGAAAACATAGAAATCATTCCTATCCTCTAAGAGCTTATTAACTGTTTTGTTTTGGTTTCACTGGCGTGTGAACCAACCCCTTTCACATTCTACTGCCAAGCAAATTCTCATTGTTTGGAAACAATCCTACTCTCCATGAATATTTTGATTGATCAGGAATGAGTGATTAAATGGAAAGCAGGATTTGGAAGTTAGAGATTGTGCATTACTCGGAGACATTTGCTATTTGCTTATGTTTGTAGGAGCACCTACCCTATCATGCTCAGAGATAATTTGTTTACATTCCAGAGCAAAATGTCTCCCTCTCACTCCGTCTCTGGGTAGGAGGTGGGGTACCCAATGCAGGTTTTGCATCTGTTTATTTTGTGGTTCTTCCCCTGGGGTGTAATTCCTACAACATATCCTGGTAACCTCTGACTCTTACTGTCTTGTCCCACAGGGAATTGGAGCATGGAGATCTATTGCCGCTAAGATTGCTCTGTGAGTAAACAAAAGGTTGGTTCTTTGATCCAGAGGTCTAGGATTCCTGTGGGGTAGGGATGTGGGGAGTTGAGAGAGAGAAATAGTGGCAAGCTTACTTGTTAGTTTAAAAGTAGGGTAATATCAAAGACCCTTCAACCCTTCTCAGTTTTGTACTTAATGTTTCTACTCTTATATACAGACAAAAAAATTTTTGACACCTAGTCTCACTCTGAGGCCAAGGCTGGAGTGCAGTGGCGTAAACTCAGCTCACTGCAACCTCTGCCTCCTGGGTTCAAGCTATTCTCCTGTCTCAGCCTCTCAAGTAGCTGGGATTACAGGCCTGCACCACTACACCCAGGTAATTTTTGTATTTTTAGTAGATAAGGTGTTTTGCCCAGGCTGATCTCGAACTCCTGGGCTCAAGTGATTCACCCACCTTGGCCTCCCAAGGTGCTGGGATTACAAGCATGGGACACCACATCAGGTCTCTAATTAATATTTTTAACAATGTCTTTGTCAGTTTTCTAGATAAACTCAAAGAAGAGCTAAGTACTTATTTTGATTCTATTATATACCTGAAACCATTATATTCACTCCCTCAATCCTTAAACTACATTTCACTTTCCTATACTTTTCATCAATCTGCCTCCAAGCCATGCTAGTCTCAACACATCGTTTGTGTTCCCCGTACCTACTACTCATAAGAGATGAAATCAGCTCAAAATAATGGTTGCCGTCTTTGAGCAGTCAGAATATAGCCTTGAGAGTTGCATGAGAAAAGAGGAAAGGTAGATATGATTTCGACCCAACAGAGGAGAAGGGTTTAAAGGTTGATTACATGTATTACAATTTAAGTGTTATTTTAAAGACTACCTATCACACCATCTTAGATCCCTTCTGGGTGGGTATCCTAAAGCCACTTGGGATTCACAGACCAGAAAATACTGCATGGCATTTCTTGTGCACAGACAGCAGTGCTTCAGTTTTTACACATTCATGGATTACGTTAGGTGGTCTTGGTCTTCTGTTCTGAAAACATTTGAGCATTATTTAAAGAGAGAGTCTCCGGCACTGCTTTTGATATTTTGCTTCCATTTGCAAAAGCTAGAACATAATGAAAATAAAGCCATTTTCCCCTCCTCTATTCTGCCTTTGCTTTCATGTTTTCCCCAGTTCTATGTCTCTTGCTATGCAGTATAGCTCATAAAATCAGTCAGAGCCAGGGGTCCTAAATGTCACTTGGGTTAGGACTTACTTTTGGGCTACTGTTTTGCCACTGATTATATAAGACAATTCTAACATACTCTGATAACATATAGGATCTTCATAGGAGTCTCTTTTTAAAGCAAACTAGAATGATAGTAATATATTAAAAATTACTTCCTTGAAACACCTAACATCACTAGAGTTGGTGAATTACATAGGTTGCCATCTAGTCTTAACTTTGCTTCCAACAGCTCATAATATGATCTCTGTTAGCAATTTACCTACACTGTGCCACTGTTTGCTCAGGTATCAAATGAGGGCGTTGGATTGAGGTTGCTCGATAGCTTCAGTAAATACAACTGTATTTTCAACTTTTCTTATTAGCCTTTTTAAGAAAAAAAAATGTATCCAAGACTCCCAAGATTATATACTCACAATGTAATTATCATTTTGGTGGTTTTTTCTTTCTCTGAGATCACTCAAGCCATTTCTTTAAAAAGACCTGTGGGGTCTTGGTTGGCTGCTGATGTTCTTATAGAATTTTTTTTTAATCATGCCATAAGGCATAATTTCTTATTTGCTATTTGATATAGTTGGGCTATGTTCCCCCCCAAATCTTATCTTGAATTGTAGTTCTTATAATCCCCATGTGTTGTGGGATGGACCCAGTGGGAGGTAATTGAATCATGGGGGCAGGTACCTCCATGCTATTGTAGTGACAGTGAGTGTGCTATCACAAGATCTGATGGTTCTATAAAGGACTTTTCCCCTGCTTGGATCTGCACTTCTCCTTGCTGCTGCCATGTGAAGAAGGACGTGTTTGCTTCCCCTTCCACAATGATTGTAAGTTTCTTGAGGCCTCCCTAGTCATGCTGAACTGTGAGTCAATTAAAACTCTTTCCTTTATAAATTACCCAGTCTCAGGTATTTCTTCATAGCAGCATAAGAATGGACTATGCTGCTATTTAAAGGGACTCAGCAGTAAAAAATATAATCCAGATCTAAGAGCACTAAGCATAATTCCCTCAGGGAACAATTGCACAGCAGCCCTCCATCTTGGTCTTGCATTTTAATGTTATTCTGTTTTTATTATTTTTTAATTCTACATTCTCTGAACTATTTTTCCTACAATTGCAAAGATTACAGTGTCCAGTGAATGGATACTATCCCACATTATTTGTGGAGCAAAATATTGCTTTCTATACTTCTCATTTAGGGAGATCAGAAGCTACAAAATAATTTGACAAGGAGTAAATGCCAGATGTGATCTTTCCTAATCGATTAATAGACACACACCTGCTTCTCTTAAGCCACAAGAAGTATTAATGTAGACTTACCAGATGCTTATAGTGGATGAAGGTTAGTGAAGCAGCAAAGCAAAAGGTTCCATAAGCTGATTCCTCCCTAGGTAACAGCTAAAGATATTTTTGCCTCAGGACTTTCATAGGAAGAAAAAATGCCATGAAGGAAAAAGAATTTGAGAAATTAGAAGAAAAAAAATATAAAAAAAAGAAAAAAGGTAGGAACCTGTTTGTGATGAACATGAGCTGTATATAGAGAGTTATTCTTTTTTTAAAATAATAATATTTTCCTCTCTAAATAGAAAAGATCTTTCCATAATTCCTAGGCATTAATGGTATAGTCCAGAATATGTCTACTCCTATGACTTTCCTTGTGATCTTGGCAATTAGGATTGTTCCAACACAGTCTTTTGTGCATATGGCTTTTCCACACTTAAAATATGGCAGGTCACGTCTGTAATGCCTGGCTCTTTCCACCTTGTAAGTCTGAATTACAGTATAAGTTTAAGTCTAGGGCCAAGTTGAGAAGCTACGACAAGCAGTCTATGTTGTTCCAGGAAAATAAGTAATTAAAAAATATTGTTCTCTTATGAGAATATAGTTCTGTCTTTAACATCTTTCATTATATTACTATGATTCTCAATAAAGAGGCTGATGTCTTGAAAATCACTGCTCTCTAAAACGAAGGAGCCTCAGAGCAGTCACTGTTATCTTTGTACTAAGATGGGCATTAATTTTTCTTTGAATAGGTTTTTGGGCAAATAAGCAACTGGGATAATAATGTATAGGCATTTGAATATTTCCAGGTGAACTAACAAGTAAGTTATTCCCTTACATTTCTTTTAAGTTCAAAATAATGTAAACATGGGTCATTAAGCAATACAAACCTAACGTCTGGTTTTACACTTTAGTTACAAATATATAGCTCAGGAAATTTTACAGAATATTGATAAATAACTGATATATAAAAATCAATAAATGCAAAACTGTTTATTTGGTAACAGTTAATACAAGTGAGTTTGAAATATGTTTTCTGTATAAGTACGGTGAAGATATTTACCCAGCATTGTCAATAGAAAAATTCATATGACTTAATATTTTGCGATTCAGTGCCCTACTTACATAATTTCTACATAATATATATTTTAAATGTATATTTTTAAGATAAGAATGGCCTACAAATTTTACATTTAGAAACATATTTACACTGTCTTTTGCTATTCAGTTCCTGTCTGTTCCCTAAGTTTTTATCAGGTAATTATATAGGAGAAAATATTATTTTCCAGTTGAATTCTTTAATGAATACACTACACATGGCATATTACCTACCTGTATCAGTTCTTTTTCACACTGCTATAAAGAACTTCCATGAGGCTGGGTAATTTATAAAGGAAAAAGATTTAATTGACTCACAGTTCTGCATGACTGGGGGGACCTCAGGAAACTTACAATTATGATGAAAGGGGAAGCAGGCGCCTTCTTCACAAAGCAGCAGGAGAGAGAGACAGCAAGAGTGGAACTACCAAACACTTAAAAACCATCAGATCTCATGAGAACTCACTCACTACCACAAGAAGAGCATGGAGGAAACTGCCACCATAATCCAATCACCTGCCACTTGGTCCCACCCTTAAAACCTAGGGATTACAATTCGAGATGAGATTTGTGTGGGGACACAGAGCCAAACCGTGTCACTACCTCACTTTTATTTGAATATTTATTTATTTATTTATTTTATTATTATTATACTTTAAGTTTTAGGGTACATGTGCACAACGTGCAGGTTTGCTACATATGTATACATGTGCCATGTTGATGGGCTGCACCCATTAACTCGTCATTTAGCATTAGGTATATCTCCTAATACTATCCCTCCCCTCTCCCCCTACCCCACAACAGGACCTGGTGTGTGATGTTCCCCTTCCTGTGTCCATGTGTTCTCATTGCTCAATCCCCACCTATGAGTGAGAACATGCAGTGTTTGGTTTTTTGTCCTTGCGATAGTTTGCTGAGAATAATGGTTTCCAGTTTCATCCATGTCCCTACAAAGGACATGAACTCATCATTTTTTATGGCTGCATAGTATTCCATGGTGTATATGTGCCACATTTTCTTAATCCAGTCTATCTTTGTTGGACATTTAGGTTGGTTCCAAGTCTTTGCTATTGTGAATAGTGCCGCAATAAACATACGTGTGCATGTGTCTTTATAGCAGCATGATTTACAGTCCTTCGGGTTTATACCCAGTAATGGGATGGCTGGGTCAAACGGTATTTCTAGTTCTAGATCCCTGAGGAATCGCCACACTGACTTCCACAATGGGTGAACTAGTTTACAGTCCCACCAACAGTGTAAAAGTGTTCCTATTTCTCCACATCCTCTCCAGCACCTGTTGTTTCCTGACTTTTTAATGATTGCCATTCTAACTGGTGTAAGATGGCATCTCATTTTGGCTTTGATTTGCATTTCTCTAATGGCCAGTGATGATGAGCATTTTTTCATGTGCTTTTTGGCTGCATAAATGTCTTCTTTTGAGAAGTGTCTGTTCATAGCCTTTGCCCACTTTTTGATGGGGTGGTTTGTTTTTTTCTTGTAAATTTGTTTGAGTTCATTGTAGATTCTGGATATTAGCCCTTTGTCAGATGAGTAGGTTGCAAAAATTTTCTCCCATTCTGTAGGTTGCCTGTTCACTCTGATGGTAGTTTCTTTTGCTGTGCAGAAGCTCTTCAGTTTAATTAGATCCCATTTGTCAATTTTGGCTTTTGTTGTCATTGCTTTTGATGTTTTAGACATGAAGTCCTTGCCCATGTCTATGTCCTGAATAGTATTGCCTAGCTTTTCTTCTAGGGTTTTTATGGTTTTAGGTCTAACATGTAAGTCTTTAATCCATCTTGAATTAATTTTTGTATAAGGTGTAAGGAAGGGATCCAGTTTCAGCTTTCTACATATGACTAGCCAGTTTTCCCAGCACCATTTATTAAATAGGGAATCCTTTCCCCATTGCTTGTTTTTCTCAGGTTTGTCAAATATCAGATAGTTGTAGATATGCGGCATTATTTCTGAGGGCTCTGTTCTGTTCCATTGGTCTATATCTCTGTTTTGGTACCAGTACCATGCTGTTTTGGTTACTGTAGCCTTGTAGTATAGTTTGAAGTCAGGTAGTGTGATGCCTCCAGCTTTGTTCTTTTGGCTTAGGATTGAATTGGCGATGCGGGCTCTTTTTTGGTTCCATATGAACTTTAAAGTAGTTTTTTCCAATTCTGTGAAGAAAGTCATTGGTAGCTTGATGGGGATGGCATTGAATCTATAAATTACCTGGGGAAGTATGGCCGTTTTCACGATATTGATTCTTCCTACCCATGAGCATGGAATGTTCTTCCATTTGTTTGTATCCTCTTTTATTTCCTTGAGCAGTGGTTTGTAGTTCTCCTTGAAGAGGTCCTTCACATCCCTTGTAAGTTGGATTCCTAGGTATTTTATTCTCTTTGAAACAATTATGAATGGGAGTTCACTCATGATTTGGCTCTCTGTTTGTCTGTTATAGGTGTATAAGAATGCTTGTGATTTTTGCACATTGATTTTGTATCCTGAGACTTTGCTGAAGTTGCCTATCAGCTTAAGGAGATTTGGGGCTGAGGCGATGGGGTTTTCTAGATATACAATCATGTCATCTGCAAACAGGGACAATTTGACTTCCTCTTTTCCTAATTCAATACCCTTTATTTGTTTCTCCTGCCTGATTGCCCTGGCCAGAACTTCCAACACTATGTTGAATAGGAGTGGTGAGAGAGGGCATCCCTGTCTTGTGCCTGTTTTCAAAGGGAATGCTTCCAGTTTTTGCCCATTTAGTATGATATTGGCTGTGGGTTTGTCATAGATAGCTCTTATTATTTTGAGATACGTCCCATCAATATCTAATTTATTGAGAGTTTTTAGCATGAAGAGTTGTTGAATTTTGTCAAAGGCCTTTTCTGCATCTATTGAGATAATCATGTGGTTTTTGTCTTTGGTTCTGTTTATAAGCTGGATTACACTTATTGATTTGCATACATTGAACCAGCCTTGCATCCCAGGGATGAAGCCCACATGATCATGGTGGATAAGCTTTTTGACGTGCTGCTGGATTTGATTTGCCAGTATTTTACTGAGGATTTTTGCATCAATGTTCATCAAGGATATTGGTCTAAAATTCTCTTTTTTGGTTGTGTCTCTGCCAGGCTTTGGTATCAGGATGATGCTGGCCTCATAAAATGAGTTAGGGACGATTCTCTCTTTTTCTATTGATTGGAACAGTTTCAGAAGGAATGGTACCAGCTCCTCCTTGTACCTCTGGTAGAATTCGGCTGTGAATCCGTCTGGTCCTGGACTTTTTTTGGTTGGTAAGCTATCGATTATTGCCTCAATTTCAGAGCCTGTTATTGGTCTATTCAGAGATTCAACTTCTTCCTGGTTTAGTCTTGGGATGATGTATGTGTTGAGAGATTTGTCCATTTCTTCTAGATTTTCTAGTTTATTTGTGTAGAGGTGTTCATAGTATTCTCTGATGGTAGTTTGTATTTCTCTGGGATCGGTGGTGATATCCCCTTTATCATTTTTTATTGTGTCTATTTGATTCTTCTCTCTTTTCTTCTTTATTAGTCTTGCTAGCAGTCTATCAATTTTGTTGATCTTTTCAAAAAACCAGCTCCTGGATTCATTAATTTTTTGAAGGGTTTTTTGTGTCTCTATTTCCTTCGGTTCTGCTCTGATCTTAGTTATTTCTTGCCTTCTGCTAGCTTTTGAATGTTTTTGCTCTTGCTTTTCTAGTTCTTTTAATTGTGATGTTAGGGTGTCAATTTTAGATCTTTCCTGCTTTCTCTTGTGGGCACTTAGTGCTATAAATTTCCCTCTACACACTGCTTTGAATGTGTCCCAGAGATTCTGGTATGTTATGTCTTTGTTCTCATTGGTTTCAAAGAACATCTTTATTTCTGCCTTCATTTCGTTATGTACCCAGTAGTCATTCAGGAGCAGGTTGTTCAGTTTCCATGTAGTTGAGCGGTTTTGAGTTTCTTAAGCCTGAGTTCTAGTTTGATTGCATTGTGGTCTGAGAGACAGTTTGTTATAATTTCTATTCTTTTACATTTGCTGAGGAGTGCTTTACTTCCAACTACGTGCTCAATTTTGGAATAGGTGTGGTGTGGTGCTGAAAAGAATGTATATTCTGTTGATTTGGGGTGGAGAGTTCTGTAGATGTCTGTTAGGTCTGCTTGGTGCAGAGCTAAGTTCAATTCCTGGGTATCCTTGTTAACTTTCTGTCTCTTTGATCTGTCTAATGTTGACAGTGGGCTGTTAAAGTCTCCCATTATTATTGTGTGGGAGTCGAAGTCTCTTTGTAGGTCTCTAAGGACTTGCTTTATGAATCTGGGTGCTCCTGTATTGGTTGCATTTATTTGAATATTTAAATGAAATGGTTAGTATCTATGCAAATTGGCAAAACACTGCAAATTGTCCAAACGCAGCTTATACATTTTATCCCAGACAGATTGTTAATTGAATAGTAAAATATACAAATAAAACAGAAATCTTATCTGCCAGAAAATTTAGAAAATAACATTTAAGAAGATTTAATTATGCAAAAATTATATTGTTTATGCCTATTAAAATATTAATGATCAGTTTTAAAGTGTGGAGAATTGCTGCTTTTGCATTTGCTATGGTTTGAATGTGTCCCCCAAAGTTCATGTGCGAGAAACTTAGTCCCTAGTGCAACAGTGTTGGGAGGTGGGTCTTAACAAGTGACTGAGTCATGAGGGTTCTGCCTTCTGGAATCAATTAATATTATTTCAGGAGTGGGTTAGTTGTCTGGTGAGTGGGTTTGTTATAAAAGTGAGTTTGGCCCCCTCTTGCTTACTCTTGTTCTCTCTCACTCTCTTGTTCTTCCACCTTCTGCCATGGCATGATGCAGAAATGCCAAATGCCAGCACCCTGCTCTTAGACTTCCAAGCCTCCAGAACTGTGAGCCAAATACATTTCTTTTGTTTATGAATTACCTACTCTGTGGTATGCTGTGATAGCAAAACAAAATGAACAAGACAGCACATTAAAAAATAAATGAAAGGGCTAGTATTACTGGTGGAAACTGAAACGGGATTAAAATTCTTCTTCCCTCTCTGTGAGACAGTTTCTGTTTCTATAAAACGTACATTATATTGGTTGAATGTTAAATCTTTTCCACATGTAGATACCTAGGAATATCTATGCTTAGGATATGCTTGCTTATACTTGATTGAATTATCATTTTAAAGCACATACAGAATATTTTCCTAAGTAGTTAACAAATTTTAAATTATCTTTATTATAATTCATCCTCAGTATAAACAAGTTATTCAAGAACATTTTTCTAACATAATGACTAGGGTGCAATTTAACTTAAGAAGCAATATAGAAAAATATCACACCCAGAATTCCCACACTTTTTGCAGTCTCACAGAACCACGATTAAATCCTAGCTTCAAGCCTCAGCTCTCAGTAACAAGAAGATGAAAAGAAAGTGCAAAAGTAAAATGCTAAGCATGACAAGTACTATGCAAGTTCTAAAAATTAAAAAAGGGAGCGTTTCCTCTCCCTCTTTTCTTGTTTCTTTCACTTGACATTTTTCCCCCATTTCCACCATCGGCGCACTTTTAGCATTCACCTACATAGGTCACCTACAGTCGTCATCTACAGCTATATTTCCTGAAATAAGAGTTTTGGTTTTCTTTCCTTATTCCTTAAAGTCTCCACTTTAAATCTATTCAAAGAAAAGTTTCTGACCTTATGATATATTCTTCAGTCTGGCCACTATTTCCCATTATCAGCCTGACATGTATTAAAATACTTACTAAATAGTAGACACTGAATATCTTTGAAATGTTGGGGGAATAAATGAAAGAGAGAGAGAAATGTGTGTGTATATGTGTGAGAGAGAGAGGTAAATGAGAGAGAGACAAGAGACAGAGAGAGATCACACAGGTGGAGATCTCTGTAAACTGTTACCTAATGATTTGAGAAATATTTTTTCAAAAATATCAAGACTATGCTGTATGTTTTTTATCCTAGAAGTTCATTTAGCATTTTATCACAATTTTGTTATGTTTTTGAAAGCATATCAATTGGCCTCAAATTAGTGCTAGAATTTAATTTAGTGCCATCATCAACAAATATTCTTTGTGCAATAATTTAATCAACAGATATCTCTTGTGGAATTTCAGCTTTGTGTGCTCGTGTGTATGTGCATGTATGCGCACGTGTGTGTTTTGGCTATTGAAAATAATCTTTCCACAAATATTCTTGCAAATGATGTTTGATTACTTCCCTAGGAGACAGCCATTGAAATAAAATTTCAAGCTGAAAGCCAAGGATATTTCTAAGCTTCTTTATAAATAGTGTCAAATTGCTGTCTATAATTTTTATGCCGATATAAAGTAACTCATAGTTTAGGAAAAACAGGTTTATCATGCCTTCTTCTGCTACATGAATTGTTTTCATTTCTTAATTCAAAGGGAGCATAAAACTTAAGTAGGTCTCCTAGATTTTGGTATTTCTTCTGTTGCCATGTGTTAAAAATATTTTGCCTTTATTTCCATCAGAGAATTTTCCCTTCTTTACTGATACATAAGATCATTTTATTAAAGATAGAACACCTTTGTTCATACAGGCTTCAAATATTTATTTCTAATTTGCTATTTGCATTTTAATTTGAGGCATGTAATATTTGGGCATGTAATATTAAAACATGTAAAAATGTACTTAGCAAATACTTTTCAAGCTTCTATGCCCCTTTTTTTGTGCTTTTGCATTATATTTACTCTTCAATTAGACGTTCTCTAGTAATCTACAGCTAAACAAAAACTCCAAATCACGAACAGCAAATTAAACATGAATGTAGCTCACTCAACAAACATTTAGCAGACTTATCTTCACTATTAGAATTAAAAGATGAGATTAAAATAATTGTGTTTTATTACAACTTGAAAACTTTTGCTTCCTAACAAAGATGTTTTGTCAAAGTACAAAGTCCTTCTTTAGATAATATAGAGATAACCTCTTATGCTTTCTCTTGCTTCCCCACCTCCAAGCAAGCTCTTCCTGGCTTCTTGTCCTAAGCGCAACTTACTCTCTCTTTGTAAGTCAGGGTCAGTAAAAACCTTCTTCTCCTAGAAGACATGGGATCTAGAGAGAGTACACAGCTGGCATGCATCTGGGGCCTACTTGCTAATACACTACTTTGCAAAAATCAAGTGGTATGTCTTTCTGCTATGAAAGTGGATGCTCATTGTATTTAGATATACAAAAATAAAAAGAAATACAGAAATATTTTTGGGAAATGTATGTTTAATTATACAAAAAGAACACATATACCACTTAATACATTTAGGCTATTACATAAATATTAAAAAGAAATATATAGTTATTTTGGGGAAAATGTATGTTTAGTAATATAAAAAGAACACCCATACAGCTACTAGACAATCAGTTCCCAAATTCGTGTTAAATAATTGCTCTGAGTTTTTCCTCCTTTTATTCTTCCTTTCTTTCTCCCCACCTTCTTTCTATTTAAAAGTTGAATTTTATTGCTTTTTGTGTATAGTATTGTTAGGGGTTTTGCTTTATTTTTATCCAAATACCTTAAAATGTACCCCAGTACATTTATTAAAAAACCATATGTTGGCCAGGCATGATGACTCATGCCTGTAATCTCAGCACTTTGGGAGGCCAAGGCAGGCGGATCACGAGGTCAGGAATTTGAGACCAGCCTGGCCAACATGGTGAAACCTCACCTTTACAAAAAATACAAAAATTAGCCAGTCGTGGTGGCGCATGCCTGTAGTCCCAGCTACTCAGGAGGCTGAGGCAGGGGAATCGCTTAAACCCAGGAGGCAGAGGTTGCAGTGAGCCGAGACTGTGCCATTGCACTCCAGTGCCTGGGTGACTGAGCAAGACTCTGTCTCAAAACAACAACAACAACAACAACAACAACAAAAACCCATATGTCATGAGTGGTTTAAATTCTCAATTTTATTATACATATAAGTCCCTTCTAAAGTCCTTTTCTGGAGCTTTTTGTCTGTGTAATGGATATTTTCTTACAGGAATTCACTTTTCAAATTAGTCCATCTTTATCACATATTTATTATGTAGAAAAGCATGTAACTTCATATTTTCAAATTTGATTATTTTTAACTATTTTTCCACATTAACTTTACAATTGTTTTCTATTTCTTACCCAAAATACCTTAATATTTCTTTAAGTGCTCATTTATTTTGTTTAAAAATTCATTATTTATTTCTAAAATTGTTGGATCGTGGTCAGAAATTTATATACACAATTCTAATTGGGAAAATAACAATTTTTCACTTTACAGTACACATACATTATGAGTGTTTCTAAATATTACATTGATGCTTGATTATTCTTTGTTAGTTTTTACATTATATTATCCTGTTTTTCAACATCTTTGTTTCTGCTTTTGGGTCAAAGAATTAAAAAGTATAGGAAGATCATGTTCTACAATGATGTTTCTCTGTTTCCTCTTTCATTTCTTATAATTATTTTTTGTTAGTTTGTTAATGGTATTCACTACTAAATCTTCATAACTTACACGTTTATGAACTTTATATTTTCAATATATAAAAATTATTTTTGGGCTATGCAACAACTTTTGTTTTAAATTTTTCTAGAATTACTATTTCATATTTTACTGTCTTCTGCTTTTATTTACTTGGCTTTTGACTTT
This sequence comes from Homo sapiens, assembly GCF_000001405.40. Lineage (NCBI taxonomy): Eukaryota > Metazoa > Chordata > Mammalia > Primates > Hominidae > Homo > Homo sapiens. Next base: position 82,395,442 of record NC_000003.12, on the reverse strand, counting down.
TAAAATCTTCCTATGCCTCTTTGACTCAGGTGTATGTTTTGATAGTGTAATGCTTTTGTCTATTTTGTTTGATACCTACTTTAAAACCTTTGTCCTTTGATATGAGGATATAGAGAAATGAGTGGGCCATGCCTGTATTCCCAGTGCTTTGGGAGATTGAGGCATGAGGATAACTTGAGCCCAGGAGTTTGAGACCAACTTAGGCAACATAGGCAACATAGGAATTACTTGTCTCTACAAAAAAATTTTAAAAAGTAGCCAGATGTGATGGCAGGTACCTGCAGTCTTAGCAGCTCAGGAGGCTGAAGGATGAGGATCCCTTGAGCCACGGAGTTTGAAGCTGTAATGAGCTATGATTGCACTACTGTACTCCAGCCTGGGTGACAAAGTGAGACTTTGTCGCAAAAAAAGAAAGAGAGAAGGAAAGAAACAAAGAAAGAAGGGGAGAAAAAAAGAAAGGGAGAAAAAGAAACAAAGGAAGAAAGAAAGAAAAGAAAGAGAGAAAGAGAGAAAGAAAGAGATAGAGGAGAGAAGGAGAGAAAGAGAGAAAGAGACAGAGAGGAGGGAGGGGAAGGAAGGGAAAGGAGGGAAGAGCAGGGGAGGGGCAGGGCAGGGCAGCACAGGGCAGGGCAGGGAACTAGGGAAGAGTTAGGGAACTCTGAGAAGCCAGGTATTTTTCAAGACCAACCAGACGCAGATTCTGGTCCTTCCTCTAGGATGATAATGTGACCTTGCTATGACTGAAATTCTTTTAAGAAACAGGACAGGACAATATTTAACAGGACAGGATGATATTTATAGATTCCCTTAAAAGGAAACACTTAGATGTTTAGAATAAGTTATGCTAGGATCATCGTTTCAGTACCAAGAGGTATTGAAAGAATTGAGATTTCCGGATGTGTCTAAACTCTGTGTATCTTGCACAGTGTCCCTAACAACTTCACACCCTTGGCCTTTCTTAGGAATTCTAAAAGCAAAGGAAATTGTCATGGATCTGTTACCTCTGATTTTATCCTATGTTACCAACCTATATCTCTAATGATTACTAATATATTGCATTATTATTAAATTGGAAACTATTAAACACACAATGATTGGAAGAAAATGGTTACTGCCTGCAGAAATTTCTATTTATTTTTATTTACCAAAATCACTTAAATATTTGGTTTTATGTCATTTTACCTTTTCTTAATATTTCATGGGATTTATACCTAGTCTCTTTAAAGTATTTTTATTTTACATTTTTATGGGTTCATAGTAAAAGTACATATTTATGATGCGTATGTGATGTTTTGATGCAGGCATACAATGTGTGATAATCACATCAGAGTAACCGAGGTATACATTATCTCAAACATTTATCATTTCGTTGTGTTAGAAACTTTCCATTCTCGCTCTATATACCTATTCTTATTCAATTCTATTCTTCGTCTTCTCCTCATTCTCTTCCTCCTCCTGCTACTTCTGTTTTCTCTAATCCAGTAGGATTTATCATCCATTTTTAATACTAACAATTGCCGTTTATAATAATTTTTATTAGCTTCATAATGAAATAACACTTATTGATGCCATTAGATCATTACATTGACTAGGAAGTGGTAAAAGTATGAATTTAGTGCAGACATCAGTAAGGTCAGGATGAATATAAAACTTCTACTGTAACAAATAAAAGAATAATAATGATACAACTCAACAATAACATATACAACTTAATTTAAAAATGGGAAAAGGTTTTGAATAGATATTTCTCCAAAGATAAACAAATGGACAATGAGCACATGGTAACATGCTCAACATAATATTATTAAGGAAATGCAATTAAAATCATAATAATATACCAATTCACACACATTAAGATGGTGATGATATACAAGCATGCATACATTCAAAAAGTCGAACAGAAAATAACAAATTTCAACAAAAATTGGAGAAATTGGAGCTCTTCTGAATTGCTGGTGAGAATATAAAATGATGCAGCTCCTATGGAAAATCATATGGTGGTGACTCAAAAAATTAAACATAGAATTAGCATTTGATCCAGCAATTCCACTTCTGGGTATATTCTCCCAAGATTGAAGACAGTTACTCCAACAGATATTTGTACATCTATGCTCATGGCAGCATTATTTTCAATAGCCAAAAGGCAGAAGTAATCCTAGTGTCCATGGACAGATGAATAGAAGAACAAAATGTGGTATATTCATACAACGAAATATTATTTGGCCCTAAAATAGGGAAGGACGATCCAGTGTGTGCTACAAAATGGATAAACCCTGAAGACATTATGTTAAGTGAAATAACCCAGTCAAAGAAGGAAAAATACTTTATGATTCCACTTATTTGACATACCTCACTAGAGTAGTCAAATTCATAGATAAAGAAAGTAGAATGGAAGTTGCCAAGGGCTGGGAAGAGAGACAATGAGGACCTATTGTTTAATGGGCATGGAGCTTCAGTTTGAGAAGATTAAACAGTTCTCTAGATGGGTGGTTTTAATTGTTGCCCAACAATGTACTTAATGCCACTGAAATGTAAATTTAAAAAACGTTAAATAATAAATTTTATGATATTTATATTTAACCACAGTAAACACAATTCTGATATTTAGCTAGAGTTAAATAGAGGGACATAGGCTTTAGTCAAATTTCTGGTGTCTGGTATTAATCTGTTTTGATGTCTGGATTGAAGGAAAAATTCTTGGTAATTCACCTTCTTTTCATAAAGTGTGGTGGAGAAATTAGTCTTTACTGTAGTCTTTAGTTGACTCCTTATTGAAAAATCCTGGATGCAATATGGCCACCATGCAGTGCTCACTCCTGTGGCTTTTCCTGATCCAGCTACTTATCTATTCCTATCTTTAAATGCTGGTTGCATCATGCTTCAATCTTCCTCTTCTACCAAAGGGCATGCCTCATTTATGTTAATTATGGTGACAAATGAATATTTAAAAGAAATCAAGAGAGCATTTGAGGGTCAAAATGTGCTTAGCCAACTTGAAAAGCAATTTGCAGTTTTCTAGTGCATTCAGACTATGAGTCAGAAGCAAGTTGTAGGTAAGATTACATTGTCCCTTGAGCAACCTTCCAGTCATAGCTCTTGCTCTCCATCAGAGGTTGAAGCTTGTATCTGTGTCAGCTACATTGGATTTCTAGGATAATAGTTTAGTTTGGGATGTTGCAAATTATTGCATTTTTTGATACTTGGCATATTTCACAGCAGGAAGTTGTCATGAGTTGAGTCGCAAAATTTGTATCAATTTATTTCCTGCCTCGATTTATTTGAATCAATGTTTATTTTACAGTTAAGCTAGAAGGAACTGGATGCCAAAGGTAAATTTTTTTTTTTTTGAGACAGAGTCTCGCTCTGTCACCCAGGCTGGAGTGCAGTGGCGCAATCTCGGCTCACTGCAAGCTCCGCCTCCCGGGTTCACGCCGTTCTCCGGCCTCAGCCTCCCGAGTAGCTGGGACTACAGGTGCCCGCCACCACGCCAGGCTAATTTTTTGTATTTTTAGTAGAGACGGGGTTTCACTGTGTTAGACAGGATGGTCTCGATCTCCTGACCTTATGATCCACCCGCCTTGGCCTCCCAAAGTGCTGGGATTACAGGCGTGAGCCACCGTGCCCAGCCGCCTAAGGTGATTTTTAAAGTAGCTATTATATAATGAATACTACTTCGTTTTAATAATAATTTACTCTCAGAACTTTTGATGTTTCCCTTTTCTTATCTTTAGCCTTGTCTTCAGAATCCATGTTACATGTCAGTATATTGGGAGGAAGCGCAGACAGTGAGTAAATTCCTTGGTTTAGGAAAAGATGAACACTTCCTATCTTCATACAGATGCACTGCATTTAAAGGATGACCTGCAAAACTCTACTTTGCAAATTATGCTTGAAAAAGTCTGACAGAGCTGAGATTTCCTGTAGAAATACCCTCAATTCTAATTTTTGAATCTATTACTAAAGCTTTATGGTCTTATAAAAATAAAGAGGGATCTATATACCTAGATGATCTAGATGGAACAGACACATGTATTCCTTTTTCCGTGAAAATATGAATTCCACACCATTGCTTCTCCCACTAGTATTCATTAATGTGCCATATTCAGGACATATTTGAATACTTTTCTCTGTTTACATGTGTTTATTTGGGTTTCATTCCTTTTGAAGAAAAGATTGTAACAAATTAATTCATGACTAAATTGAAAAAAAAAAAAAACACTATTAGATTAATTGCTGTCCTTTACTGACAACATTTTAACTCTGTGGCAGGATATTTTGTCCCTTTACTTTTCTGGATTTGTAACGCCTTCATGCCGAGGAGTTCATCTCCTGACAGAAAACGAAAGAAAACCACTTGTCTGTTGAATTGAGAGAACAGGCTCCCCTCAACTCAAAGCACATGGGTAGCTGCCACGGTTTTGCTTCCCACTCTGAAGTTTCCTTTTGAAAAGTAGCATTAACATTGTTTTGAGAGAATAATTATCATCCTCCACTGATACAACATATGAATGTGCCATCTTTACTATTCTGAGTCTGTAACAATACCTTGGGCATCTGTAACACAGCTCACCTTCCCACACTAAGGAATAAATCAGATTTCCTGTGTAGAGGTGATTATCCTTTTCTATCTTTTGCTTGGCTACCATTTAAGTCTAAGGCCATCACATATCATCCCTGTCATTTTTATGTGGGATATTCTCAGCGATAAGGTGACAGAGTCTGACAACCCATTTACCTCCCTGGTTACTATCACTCATTCTACTGAATGCTCTATCTTTATTGTGGAGATATATAGGTAATTGCCTCTTTCTTGAAGATTTTGCAGGACAGTCATATAGATATTGGAGAAAACATTCACAAATGAGGCCCCTAGTCCTAACCACCTGCTTTGTCAATGTTCCTTCAGTTACCCCATATATAAATATGATTCTGATTTTTTAAAATTTTTGGTATTATATATGAGGATCCAGACTAATATGTAAGATCTTCACAAAATTTGAAGACATGACATCCAACATATTTGCAGTTCTAGATTTTAAAGAAACCAAAATAATCAGTATGTTGGAAAAGAACAGAAAATATTAATATTCACTTCATCATTATCACCATTATTTCCTACTAAGTTTATTTACATGTTAATAAAGCATGCAATTTCCAAAGCTTTACTTGTTTCTCTCTTATTGTAAAGCCTTCACCTTTACAATATATAAGATACTGCATATATATATATATTTTATCCACAATATACATTTAAAATGTAATCACTCTTAATGCCACATTATTTCAAATATATCTATATATTTATCCAAATAACCTACTTAATGATAAGGTAGCTTCAAAGTATAAAACCTTAGAATGTCTGGTTTTTCTTTTTGTTTTTTTAGATGAAGTCTCACTCTGTCGTCCAGGCTGGAGTGCAGTGGCACGATCTCAGCTCACTGCAACGTCTGCCTCCCAGGTTCAAGCTATTCTCCTGCCTCAGCCTCCCAAGTAGCTGGAATTACAGGCACCCGCCACCACTCCCGGCTAATTTTTGTATTTTTAGTAGAGATGGGGTTTCACCATGTTGGCCAGGCTGGTCTTGAACTCCTGACCTCAGGTGATCTGCCCACCTCGGCCTCCCACAGGCATGATTACAGGCGTTTGCCACCATGCACAGCCCAGAATGTCTGTATTTTATACTTAGATCTTTGTTACATGTCACATATTATAGAACACTTGTAACATTTATGTTAGCTCATGGAATCTCAGATTCAGCCGCATATTTTAAACCCAGATTAATATTTTTATCTTACGTAGTCAAAATAATTGGACTAAAACTTCTTTTGCCTGAATTAACTGGTGATGTGGTATCACTGAATATTAAAATAAATCAAGTCAGGTGTGTAATTGCTAAAATCCTATTGTTAATGTAACTTTAAATAACTTGAGGAAAAAATTCTTACTTATCATTAGAGATTGAGTTCATAAGATTTGTTTTGGAGATTAGGGCCTCTAATAAAGTTTCACCATAATGAGAAAGAATACATGTTCCTGCTATAAATATGGTTTAAAATGCTTATCATGTTTATGTTTTCCATTATGTTTCAATGTTTATTCAATTTCTTTTTTTTTTTTTTTTTTTGAGATGGAGTCTCGCTCTGTCGCCCAGGCTGGAGTGCAGTGGCATGACCTCGGCTCACTGCAATCTCTGCCTTCTGGGTTCATGCCATTCTCCTGCCTCAGCCTCCCGAGTAGCTGGGACTACAGGCGCCCGCCACCATGCCCGGCTAATTTTTTGTATTTTTAGTAGAGACGGGGTTTCTCCGTGTTAGCCAGGATGGTCTCGATCTCCTGACCTTGTGATCTGCCCGCCTCGGCCTCCCAAAGTGCTGGGATTACAGGTGTGAGCCACCGCGCCTGGCCGTTGATTCAATTTCTTAAATAGAATGTTATCATAAAATTGCAAATGCTGTATCTTATAGTCTTCATCTAACTATCGTCTCCTTCTATTAGAATTTCTCATCACCTGATGAAACTGGTCCTAGTCTCCATATTCATAACGTATGACTCACATGTCTTTTCTTATCCAATCCCAACCATCCAACCACAGTTGATTAGTTAGAAGCAGCAATCAAGATAGGCCAACCAATCGTTCTCTAAGTGAGTTAGAATCGGGATCCTGTCCCATGGTGCTAGGTCCCATAAGTGAGAAATCCAATGGTAAATAATAGTCTGGGACATAACCGTATTTAAAAGACAGTTAAAAAATAACTAGAAATAAAGGGTAAACTATCATTATAAGAATAAGTGGAGAGTTGGAAAAAGTATGCACAAATTCAGACTTGCTAGTTCATAGTTCCTGGATGTCTTTCCTTCCAGAAATTGATTCCCATTTTGTGGTTAGCAACTGTTAAATTTATATTCTAACTACTGTGCAAAAATGTGTTTATTTATTGCTTTATAATAATTTAACTGTACATGAATTCTATTTCTAATGATGACATCTATTGCAATCTTGACAATTCATGATTGATCAATTCTTGCTTAAATTTCCATGTCTGTTGAGTAACCATTTGTTCAATTCAGAATTTTCCTTTTCCCATTTCTCCTAACCTTCTACCTGACGGTAATCTTAAGTCAAGAGATACTGAAATATTGCTCTAGTATTGAAAAGAAGGCCTATGATCCATAGTTATTCTAGTTCTCTGAAGTTTTCCACCAATGGGATTTTTATCTAATCTGATTAGGTAATTCTTTCTACACAATTCTGCATTCTTTACAGCTCTGTAGTTTCTGGGTCAAGTTTTTCAGGCTTTTGCTGCTCATCACCATTACAATATTTTTGGACTTTTCTTTCACAGAATCCAACCTTTGAAAATCTAAAGGATTTTGGTTTTCAAGACTATTGACTCTGCCATGATTTTTCCAGGGGATATTTGACAGTTGGTTCTTAACAATATTAATTTTCTCCTGAAAACGGTGCTTATGAAATTCAAAGGTTTCTGCATACATCATTGCTGTATATCAGTATTGTGAAAAGACTAAGGGGGTGGAGAATAAACTTCAAATAATATCTCAAAAGCTATTTTTTCAATATTGCCACCAAAAATTAAATATGCTTAGAAGGCACAGAGCCTGGTACACAATAGTAAGCATTAAATGTTCCCTAGTGTGCTAGAGGGACAGACAAGTTGATGCATAAACAATACACAAACATCTAAAAAATACATGTTTAAGTTCAAGAAAAGGTCGATAATTTTAGTAGTAAGATAATAGGGAATAAATATTTTGTAAACAATTAATAGACCACAAGGGAACAAGTGGTCTGGAGTAAGATGACTCCTATAGTATCTTTCCTGATAAAGAAGCTTCAAATTAGTTTCCAAAAGTTGGACAAGAGCAGGTGATGTATATTCATGTATGTGTGTGTGTATATATATATATATATATATATATATATATATATATATATATATTCCTTTCAAATGTTTTATATCAGTAAATCTGATTTCTAAGGGTTGATTTTCATTTTATCTTTAATGCAAATAAAGTAGAACCTTGTGAACACATATACTCACAAAAGAGTAAATGGATGAAACAGAATGAGTGCTCGCAATAATTTTTAAAACATAATTGCACTTAAAAATGAGCTATGTGCACTAAATGGTTTCCCAGATCCCTTTCTACTTTATGAGTTCGTTGTTGGATGATAGAACATTAACCTTGGGCAAACAGCAGAAAATTGTAAATTACGTGTAAATCTTATTCCCTTGAGTTTTAATCTTTTTAAATGTTCTGACTTTGTAATACGTTCAGTGTTACCGTATCAAGTAATAGTGGATATAGAACAGGTGAGAATGATTATGGAGAGAAATAGTACTGGCAATTTAGATGAGAGCAGGAACCAAGAGTTATATTTTGTGTTTTCTTTTGACAATCCTAGTAACTTTAACATGTTACCTGCTATGAAAGAACAAATAAACCATTGCCTCCTTTTTTTCATAAATTCACTACTCAGGAAGCCCCTTTCAGGCCACAATGCTTGTTCTCTGTTATTTTAGCAGCATGATGCATTACAGAACTAGAACAGGAATTACGTCACCCTGGGAAGTGTCTCAAGATACTTGCCTATTAAAAGCAGAGGATGAACATATTGTGAACCCATGATTAGGTGTCTGAGGACCATTACCATTGAAACAGCTGCGAGACTCCTGTGAACAGCAAGCACTGAACATAGCAAAACCTGTTGTTTTAGATATATACACTAGTACCAAATTAAAGGAGTTTAATTTTTTTTAAATGTTCATATTTAAAAACACATTTTCTTGCACTGATAAACAATTAGATAAGAAAGCCTATAACTGCAACATATAAGTATAGAAAAAAAACTGTATACTTTAGGGAATTTTCCTGTTTCCAATTACAAAATAATTTTTCTTTGAGTTTTTAAACAGCTTTAATTTCTTCTCACCATCTGCTAGTCTTTTCTGTGTATTTTGGGAAAAGCAAAATTAAGTTTATGGGATGTGGATCACAATAAAATCAATCATCATATCCTCTAGTTCAGGATAATACAATTCTCTAGTCAATTATTTTTCAAAAATATTTAGTTCCTGAAAAATCTTTACCCATACAGTCAGCCCTTGTATCTGGGATTTAACCAACTGTGGATCAAAAATGTACCTAGGCCAATGATGGTTGTGTCTGTATTGAATTCGCACAGACATTTTTTCTTATCATTATTCCCTAAACAATATGGTATAACAAATATTTACATAGCATTTACGTTGTATTAGGTACTATAATAATCTAGAGATCATTTAAAGTATATGAGAAAATGTGCCTAGGTAATATGCAAATATGACACCATTTTATATAAGACTTCAGTATCTTAGGATTTAGGGATGCTCTGTGGGGACGGTGGGAGTTCTGGAATAAATCCCTTGCAGACACCAGGGGACAAAGACTATATATTAATTCACACCAAAATCATACTCTGTAATGAATCAGAAAGTGGTCTTGCAAGTGGTGTAATTTTTATGTCCCATCATTAAACAAGAAATTGGTGTCCTCCTTCTTTCACCTATTATTATACTTCTCTGAACTAACCTTCCTTGAAGTCAGTTTGAGTCGTTCTCATTTTCCTTAGAAATTTCTCATTTCCATTATTAAATTCTGTTAATGTTTTTAGAATAGTGGTAATTATACAAAAACTTAAGAGAGGACAGAAATTTAAGAGACTCTCTTCTATTAAATATTTATAACTTAAAAACCCATAAACATTAAAAATATACTTCTGCTGTTCTATAAAGGCATTATACAAAATATATATTTAATAAATGATAAATATAGTAACAATATATAATAAATAATATATATTTTACATATAAATATGTAACTTTAAAATTATATACAAATATACCATTTATTACAAATAAACACAACAGCTGATGTTCTATACAAATTTACATATATTACATGTATATTTAACATATAAATATATTATTTAACATATATAAATATTACATATAATGTATAATATATTATAAATATCTAACTTCATATATAAATATACAATTTATTATAAATATATATTAACAAGTGATGGTCTATAAAAGTTTTTCATGTAAATATACATTCATACATAATATGTACTCATGTATATTTAATATACATTATAATCATACACTATATATTATTAATATACATTACACATTTATAATGCATATTAAATGTATACATGTGGTAAATTTCATACATATTATATATATAAATACATAGCATACATAAATACATACTAAAATATATATTAATAATATATAACAAACATCTATATATAAAACTTTTATAGAACGACATCAGTGCATTATTCAATCTTTATAGGTGTGTCAATTAGAATATTTAATATAAATTTATATATGGTATCTATATATAAGTATATATTAATAAGATCATCAATAAAATTAACTCTACCATAAAAAATTATCTACATTATTGAACTTCTTTCAGTGCTTTGCTTCTTCAAGTAACATACAAATCTTTTGTAATGCTTTGTAAATTATGCTTTTCACATTTAATAAAACCAAATGGCATTAGGCCACTAAGCATATGAAGAAGTTAGTAACAATGTAAGATCGTAAATGCTATAAAATTAACGGAAGCTAATGTATCTTTCACAGGGTACATAGACAGTAACTATGCATATTTATTTAAATAGAGAATCTATGATTACTTCAAATTCTGCATCTTGATTTTTGTAAGAAAAAAAGAGTAGAAAATTGCATATAAAATGTAGTAAGTTCAAGCATTATGTAGCCAGATTCCTATCAAGTAGCATCTTTATGAAAAACAGTCATTTATAGGAGATAAGATTTTACTATGCACTTTTATTTAGCTTTTTTTTCCTAATAGCATTGTAATAAAACTAGTTTTTTTACACCCCAGTGACAGTAGCTATATCTGTGCATATAAATAGAACACCCACTTAAATGATTTTTTAAGTTGTAAAGCATTAAATTGGCTCCTTCTAAAAAGAAGTAACAGTGCTCAGAACGGCTAAAATTATCTCAAACTGCCCACATGCTCCTCCTATGTGAAAGCTGATGAACGATACTGCTCTTTTTTTAAGTTGGTTCGAGCTACTGCTGTGACTTTCAAAATGTGCTACATCATTTTAAAGGCAATATGCAAGACTTTTTATTATTTTTAATTAAAAGCATTTATAAAGAATATCAATCTGTCCCTCTGCCAAAGATATTTGTTACTTTCTTGCTATTATTGGAAAACAATAGTTGTACACTTTTACATTTATTTTGATCCCACTGAGCTACCTGTTTGACCAATAATAATGCTTTCTTGAATTTCATTTTTTGAGATGTGATTGTGATATTGGATTTCACTGAGATAATCAACATAAACAAGACTGGAATTTATGCATACTCTATATGCCTGCTGTTTTTAAAATGTCATAAAAATAAAAAATTTCCCTAAAGTACAATGTTTCATTTAAAAGCAAACCAATATCTGGCACTTTTGAAACTTTTATTATAAAATCTTAAAACTCTTTATTTTACTCACAATCAGAATCTATTGTAAGCTCACTAGATTTATTAGATTACGTGAGAGATACTATGGTCTGTTCTACAGTTGATTAAATTTATTCATGTCACGACAGCAAAACACAGTTAAAAATTTAACTAGATTTGTCATCTTATTTTGCTCAATAAGGGTCAAGCTAAAAGTTTATACATTTAGGCACGGATATGCAATAAACTTCTGTTTCCCTCATATCACCTATTCTCATAGAACAGTACAAAGATGAACAGGTTATAAAGAACTTCATTGTCTAGCCAAAACATTTAACATGTTTGCCTATGTGAATTTCTCTCTGTCTTAATGAGGAATGTCAAATGAACAATCAAAGGTATATATTTATGAAAATGTGTTTAGATAGCTACAAGTATTTTCTAGAATTTTTAATATGAAAGCCCTTTGCCCCTTCCTCCTACCAATAAATTTGGTGGAACACAGGTGGTAGGTCTAGGTTTATTTCCATGCCGCAGCTTTTTCCTTGAAGTATATAGTCCAGTTTTAGAGAAAAGGCAGTGGGGAACTTTCCTCCCACTGGTTTGCAGAGTTTCTTCCCTGTCTAAGAGATAGGGAAGGAGAAGAGAGAGTGAAGAAGTGGTGAGCACTGAAGGAAACTGTTAGAAAGGTTAGAAAATTACAGCACCTAGTTATACATGCCTACTTAAAAAATGTATATTTTTATGGTATTAACAACAGAACCACTAGAGCTAGATGGGATTTGTATGGGATTTTGTGGTTAGAAGTCTGACAAAGCGGCTAATGAACTCAGTTCAATAAGTGTTCCTTAAATTTCCAATAACCCCGGGTCTGCCAGAGGCCTCCCCACTGTGTGGTCCCTGATGCTGTCTCTGCTTCATCCCCGTGTCAGCCTAGTTTTGAAACAGCTGCTGCTCCACAAGAAATTCAATCACCTCAAGAATGTAGGAACATCGAAGATTTGAGAAACAGTGGGGAGGAATCCCTGGTGTACCAGTCTGCATTCTGTCATCTGGCTCCCCATCTCCAAAGCCCTGTTTTTTTCTTAAACCCCTATCCATCCCATACCCCAGATATGAATTCTTCTCACTTTATTATGCAGTTTCTTCTCTCTTGCTTGGAATCCTGGTAGTCAGGATTCCACTTGAGCTCTGTATTTCAATCTACAGGCCATGAAAATTTGTTAAGGCTTAGTACCAACAGAGGCAGGTGGCTCTCTAAGAGTAACTATCAGGGCAGTTGACTAGGAATAATAATTTTGTTTAACTCTTTATACAAATAAACATTTGATTTAAAGTATGTTTACAATGTGGTTTCTTCTCACAATTTCCATATCACCACATTGATACAAGCTACCCTCTTTGATCTGTCCCAAAAAATGATAAACATGTCCTAACTGCTTTACTAGTTTCTACTCTTGCCCCAGAACCACAGACCTAAGGGACCTTTAGGAGATGGGAGACAGATTATGCTCAAGATGTTACTGGTGTTCCATCTCACCAAGAGTAAAGAAAATGTCTCCTCTTTCACTCCACCCTAGCTGAAGCCTCTGTCGCTCCGTTATGTTCTCACTAACACATCCAAACTATTCCCACCTCTGGGCCTTTGAACTTGCTGTTCCATTGCCTAGAATGCTTTGCTTTACGATTTCTGTAACTGTCAGTCCCTCTCTAACTTGTTTCATACCTCAGCTCACCTTAGCAGTGAGGACTGCAAAAAATGGCAAGAAATTCCTACCACACCAGCCACTAGTAAAGACAAACACACACACACACACACACACACACACACACACACACACACACAAACAAAGAAGTATCCCAATCTCCCTTAATCCATTTTATTTTTTCTCTATAATAATTACTACCTACCTTCTCATCATAACTGGTGTATTAATAAAAGTCAGTAAAGTACTGGCTGAAGTCTCAGATTTATTTCTTTGTATGTAAAACATGAGACATATTCTTGTAATGTATGCCATGTAGCATGTATTTTATTTCTTTATTCATTTATTCTGCAAGTTTCCTAGTTTCTGTTTGCCTCAGTTTATTAATCTATAAAATAGAAAAAAAAACTTTTAGCAACTACCACTTATAGTGTTTTAGGAGTTATAAATTCAAGTGATATATTTAAACAATTTGCTTAACGCCTAGCAGAGAGAAAATTACTATTAAACACTGGATATTGTCTTTTCTTAAGGACAAGTGATGATATTGATGCAAAATAAATAATAATATTCCTGTTTCTATTCATAGGTACTTTCAGGTCTTAGGTGTGATTTTCAAGAAATGGAACCTGTGATGAGGATTCTTGTTAAAGAGATTGACTGGTGCGGTGGCTCACACCTGTAATCCCAGCACTTTGGGAGACCGAGGCGGGCAGATCATGAAGTCAGGAGATCGAGACTATCCTGGCTAACACAGTGAAACCCCGTCTCTACTAAAAACACAAAAAATTAGCCAGGCGTGGTAACGGGAGCCTGTAGTCCCAGCTACTTGGGAGGCTGAGGCAGGAGAATGGCGTGAACCCGGGAGGCGGAGCTTGCAGTGAGCCAAGATGGCACCACTGCACTCCAGCCTGGGTGACAGAGCAAGACTCTGTCTCAAAAAAAAAAAAAAAAAAAAAGATTAAATTGAGGGATGCTTTCAGGTAAAGAGAGTGAGGAAAGCAGGATAAAGCCAGGAAAAACAGCAAGGATGTGGTTTCTGCTAAACAGTAGTTCAAGCCTGATCTCACTGGAAGCTCTGATGCACAAATTACAACACTGAGTACCTCCAGGTGCAAGGGGGTAAAACTTCCATGCCCTTGTGACAGTTAGGCATGGCCATGAGGACTTGGGATGCTCTCAGTGGTGACTACCTGACAAAGTCATCACCGTTCGCCTAAAGGTGATTCTCTTGAGAAGCGGACAGCTATGAAGAGTTGGCAGCCAATATTCACAACTGCTGAAAGATGGCCACACCTTTGGAAATGCAATCTGGGCAGGGTACAAATAGCATCCACCACAACTTCAAAAGTTTTATCATAATTTCAGAAATTAAAGTCACAGAGTTTAAAATTCCTTCAGGAATGGTTCAATATATATTAAAATAGTGATAACTCATATTCTTTCTGTTCTCTTTTTACCTTGTAATTGGACTCCAATTTTAGATTGGTGATCACACTCAATTTCATAGCCTCGTAGGAATCCTAAAACTTGTAGGGCATGCTGTGGAATGGTGATTGATTTCTTTCAGTTTGTTTATCTAAAATCTCAAGGAGATTAGCAGATGGAATGTCTGATTCAAATGAAACTTTATTGCTTCAATTAGATTACTGTGTAAGTAGATTAACACTCTGAAACCCCAACTTCTCCAAAATACTTCTGACTAGGACATGACTGGTAACTATTGATACTAGGCAGCTGGAACAGCAGACAAAATATCCGAGGCTATTGATAAAACTTTTTATCGCTGAATTATACTTTCTGTTTATAATCCAACTGCCAATAATAATAGGTATTCTGGTATTTATTACCCAAATATATGCTGAATAAAATACATTTTAAAGATTTCAATTCCCCATGTTAAAATATGATAAACTAAGAAGCATTTAATGATTAAAGTGTCAACATATGCAAAGCAAATCATAAAACACCTGATGTGGCAAATAAATAGTAGGATTAGTCACTGGATTATTGAGAATTTGGGACTATGTGTTTTTTTTTAAGTCCATTTTAAATAATTACAAATCTACTAAGATTTAGCACCTCAACTTCTTTGTGATGCAATCTTAACTCTTCAGTCTTACAGAAATGGATATGGTGAAAAGGGATTTAATGGTCAAACATATAATAGTTTTTATTACTGTATATTTCAAGTCAATTCCACATAGAAGGTAATTCCTTAGCTGATTTACGGGTCGGCAATTCACATCTAAGAAATCTACAAAACTCTTCTCTCAAAATGGACACACAACCAGTAGTGGAGGGGATAACATAAGAAAATACATAGGAATGTTAAAGTGAACTAAACATGGCCTGAGAAGGACTCTGTACTTCTACATTTGAGTCCTTGTGGACAAACTGCAACCTAGCTTAATAGGTAGACAAGATTAAAAACCCAACTTAGGAGTACATGCCTGTAAGAAGAGCTGAGTCTTGGCCAATCACTGCTGCCATACTTCAACCATTCATGCACTCCTAAGTGTTCAAATTGTGTTCAAATAAGGCAAACACCAACTTGAAACCAATCCAGCCGTTCTTTACCTTACTTCCAAATTCTGTACATCATTTCCATTTTTGTCTATAAATCTTCTTCCACCACATGGCTGTGCTGAAGTCTCTGCATATCTGCTGTGATTCTGAGAGCTGCCTGATTTGAAAATTGTTCACTGCTCAAACTTCTTTAAATTTAATTCAGCTGAAGTTTTTCTTTTATCAGATGGTGTCAGAAGCAGGATCTGTAGCAGAGCTTCTAGAAACCCCCAGGAGGGCTGAGTGAACAAACAAGGTACCTACAGGACCTACTTGTGTCCATTGATCTCTCAGAGTGATGGGAATCATGGTAAGATTTCTCTCTTGAATTTCAGAACTCCGTGGATTTGTGTTTTGAGCTTCGAGTTTCTTTGAGCAAATTTCTAATCCAAACTGGGTTTGGAAGTCACTACAGAAACTGGGCTGGGTCCAGGAATGGATTTGATCTGGGAATTAACTGGCTTGGATCCAGTTAGAGGGCTCTTACATCCGACTAGGTCAAAAAGGAACTGGTCATAAGCAGTAGTATTGCAGGGGTTATAAAATTTGGATTTTGGAAATTCATAGGGATTTTTGTGTTCTACCCCTTTGTTTCATTTTTCTTGTGCACTTAGGTAACGCACTTAGCCAGTGAAAAATCATTGGCTAAGTTAATCAAGAGAACCTGAGAGTAAAGCCAATATTTTAGGTAAAAATGGGATCCTTAATTTCTGGAAAACTGAGTTCCTTCTGGCTTATACATTAACCCTGGGAGACAGCACAATCTTACAAAAATGATGAAATCTTACTAAAGATAACTTACAGCAAAATGTTCCAAATGAACAACAACACACTGAAGTACATTTTAAAATGAAGGCTCTTGGTAAAATCCCCTTCAGCTAAGAATGGGTTCATCACTATGTGATATTAGCTGCTATTCTCTTTAGAATAATCTGCCTTGTGCTTTTTGCTGATGGCTGTGGGTGACAGGATTACGCATGTACAAGATCATGCAGCATGGGGAACTTTTTCCTCTCCAAAAGGGGAAACTTGAGAGCTGAAGAGACTCCTGGAAAAGATCCCTTCACTAATGACAAACAGCTGCCTGAAATTTTGATTCAGTGTCAGCTGCAGTGGGTGAGTCTTGCTCTGGCCTCCCTAAGCTCTTCACCCTCCCCACTCTGCCATAGGCAATACTTTTCTTTCTCCACTTTTCTTTTCGTACCTTTTCTGTTACTCAGGGCAACCATCTTGCCCAGAGACTATGTGTTGAAACTCATAGTCTGAGGTCAGATTAAAGATGATGGGGCCCATGTAGGGGCAAATTTAAGCCCTGCCAGTTTGATATTGGGTTCTAAGCAGAGTGGCTAATGTCTGTGTTTTATCACATGTATTTTGCTCTGACCAGAACAGAAAAAGAAAGATAATTTTCCTTTGTGTTGCAGCTTGGACCCCAGGGCTAATGTGCAGCAAGTTGGGTCACTAGGGCCGCTTAGTGAAAGGGAACTCAGAAGCTTGGCATGCTGGCAAAAGGGTGAGAATTTCTTATCAGTCAGATTTCTGGCCTCTCTCTCTCTCTGTGTGTGTTTGTGTGTGTGTGTGTGTTTGTGTGTGTGCAGATCAATTGAATAAGTGTTAAAAATCACTGGTTATCTCTTCTGTAAATTTTTGATTAATGGGAAAAAGGATTTGTGAGACTAGTCTTAAGCTGTAGTGAATCTAGTGTGCTTTCTGTGTCTGTCTGTATTGTTCTGTCATAAAGAAAGAGGCATTCCTTAGGATAGGACACTGGCTTAGGACACCTGTAAGCCCACTTTTCAGGTTGGCCCAGCAAACTGGCCAGTTACAAACTTTGCTGCAGATCCCTAAAAAACAAACAAACAAACAAAAAACCAAAAAAAAAAAACTGGATGAGGTTGCCCTCTTGTCTTGTATGTCCTTGGGAGCTTAACCTTGTAACCACATGGCAGTAGTTTCTCATTTTACAATGGTGGCCTGGTTTCAGGGTTCAATTCCCAGCTTAGGGGATGAGTCCTTTATCTTCTTCTGTCTGTGTATTTATATGTGTTTTGTGTGTGTGATATTTAAAAAGCTTTAATTGCCTTAAAAATAAGTGATAAATCAAATATTTTATCAGAAAAGTAAAAAGTGTAATGCCTTTTAGTTCATGTGACTTAAGTAATCTTTGGGAAATAAAGACTGTTTTAAAGATTATTGGTAAAATAAAAATATCTTCAAAAAATGTAAATATTTGGTCTAAACAGTGGAGGTCAGATACTAAGTTTGCTAAATGCTTTCAATTCATAAACTGCTTCTCTAACTTTTGCAAATTGTTCAATATATTTTGGAGACATTAGATTTTAAATAAGTCCTGTACATATGTGGAATTAGCCATGCCCCCTAGCTATGCAAAGAAGATTATAAAGAAAAGAGCGTTTATATAAGAAAGGATCTTGTATGGTAAATTCTTGTCCTAAGGAAAAAATGACTGGTTGTTTAAAAAGAGGGATGTTTAGAACAAGTCAGAAAGTCTAAGCATGTCGGAGATGGTCTTTGTAAGTCGTGAAAGGATTTGTCAAAAAAAATGTATGCACCAAAGTGAAAGTTGCTAAGAATTACCATTATAACATGTAATTGAGACTACTGAAAAAATAAGTTTCCATGCAAGGCATGTGAGGAGAATGAAATGGGTCTTTAGTAGGAGATTATAAGAAGTCATGGGAATGTAAACTTTTGCCTTGTTTAGAGGGTTAAAGGATGGATTTAAATTAAATACTATAATGCAAAAGGTTTAAACAAGTTGTGAAAGGTTTGTAAAAAAATTAACCTTGCAGGAGAATGGCGTGAACCCGGGAAGCGGAGCTTGCAGTGAGCCGAGATTGCGCCACTGCAGTCCGCAGTCCGGCCTGGGCGACAGAGCGAGACTCCGTCTCAAAAAAAAAAAAAAAAAAAAAAAAAAAAATTAACCTTGTAAAAGAAAATTAACCTTGTAAGAGAAATTCTTTCTGTGAAAATATTGACTAAATTTAAAGGAGTATTGTTTGTTTTTTCCTGTAAATTGAACATCGAAATAAAAACAAAACAGGGTTTTCTTAAAGCACTAATCTACTCTTTAACAAAAATTTGTAAATTTTATAAATGGTTTATGAAAATCTCACCTTATGATCAAACAGGTTAAGATTGGATAGATTGTCTATGAGGTTTTATTCAAAATTGGGGTCAGCATTAATAGTCTACTAATGCGGGTTCCAAGATGGCCGAATAGGAACAGCTCCAGTCTACAGCTCCCAGTGTGAGTGATGCAGAAGATGGGTGATTTCTGCATTTCCAACTGAGGTGCTGGATTCATCTCATTGGGGATTGTCGGACAGTGGGTGCAGGACAGGGGGTGCAGCGCACCAAGCGTGAGCTGAAGCAGGGCGAGGCATTGCCTCACCCGGGAAGGGCAAGGGGTCAGGGAATTCCCTTTCCTAGCTAAGGGAAGCAGGGACAAATGGCACCTGGAAAATCGGGTCACTCCCTCCCTAATACTACACTTTTCCGACAGTCTCAGAAAATGGCGCACCAGATTATATCCCGCGCCTGGCTCAGAGGGTCCTACACCCATGGAGCCTCGCTCATTGCTAGCACAGCAGTCTGAGATTGAATTGCAAGGCGGCAGCGAGGCTGGGAGAGGGGCGCCCGCCATTGCCGAGGCTTGAGTAGGTAAACAAAGCGACTGGGAAGCTCGAACTGGGTGGAGCCTACTGCAGCTCAAGGAGGCCTGCCTGCCTCTGGAGACTCCTCCTCTGGGGGCAGGGCATAGCGGAACAAAAAGCAGCAGAAACCTCTGCAGACTTAAATGTCCCTGTCTGACAGCTTGGAAGAGGGTAGTGGTTCTCCAAGCACACAGCTGGAGATCTGAGAATGGACAGACTGCCTTCTCAAGAGGGTCCCTGACCCCCAAGTAGCCTAATTGGGAGGCACCACCCAGTAGGGGCAGACTGACACCTCACATGGCTGGGTACCCTCTGAGACGAAACTTCCAGAGGAACGATCAGGCAGCAACATTTTCTATTCAGCAATATTCGCTGTTCTGCAGCCTCCGCTGATGATACCCAGGCAAACAGGGTATGGAGTGGACCTCCAGCAAACTCCAACAGACCTGCAGCTGAGGGTCCTGACTGTTAGAAGGAAAACTAACAAACAGAAAGGACACCGACACCAAAAACCCCATCTGTATGTCACCATCATCAGAGACCAAAGGTAGATAAAACCACAAAGATGGGGAAAAAAACAGAGCAGAAAAACTGGAAACTCTAAAAATCAGAGTACCTCTCCTCCTCCAAAGGAATGCCGCTCCTCACCAGCAATGGAAAAAAGCTGGACGGAGAATGACTTTGACGACTTGAGAGAAGAAGGCTACAGATGATCAAACTTCCCCAAGCTAAAGGAGGAAGTTCGAACCTAATGCAAAGAAGTTAAACACCTTGAGAAAAGATTAGACGAATGGCTAACTAGAATAACCAATGCAGAGAAGTCCTTAAAGGACCTGATGGAGCTGAAAACCATGGCACGGGAACTACGTGATGAATGCACAAGCTTCAGAAGCTGATTCGATCAACCGGAAGAAAGGGTATCAGTGATAGAAGATCAAATGAATGAAATGAAGCTAGACGAGAAGTTTAGAGAAAAAAGAATAAAAAGAAATGAACAAAGCCTCCAAGAAATATGGGACTATGTGAAAAGACCAAATCTATGTCTGATTGGTGTACCTGAAAGTCATGGAGAGATTGGAACCAAATTGGAAAACACTCTGCAAGATATTATCCAGGAGAACTTCCCCAACCTGGCAAGGCAGGCCAACATTCAATTCAGGAAATACAGAGAACACCATAAAGATACTCCTCGAGAAGAGCAACTCCAAGACACATAATTGTCAGATTCACCAAAGTTGAAATGAAGGAAAAAATGTTAAGGACAGCCAGAGAGAAAGGTCAGCTTACCCACAAAAGGAAAGCCCATCAGACTAACAGCGGATCTCTCGGCAGAAACTCTACAAGCCAGAAGAGAGTGGGGGCAATATCCAACATTCTTGAAGAGAAGAATTTTCAACCCAGAATTTCCTATCCAGCCAAACTAAGCTTCATAAGTGAAGGAGAAATAAAATCCTTTACAGAGAAGCAAATGCTGAGAGATTTGTCACCACCAGGCACGCCCTGCAAGAGCTCCTGAAGGAAGCACTAAACATGGGAAGGAACAACCGGTATCAGCCATTGCAAAAACATGCCAAATTGTAAAGACCATCGATGCTAGGAAGAAACTGCATCAACTAACGAGCAAAATAACCAGCTAACATCATGATGACAGGATCAAATTCACACATAACAATATTAACCTTAAATGTAAATGGGCTAAATGCTCCAATTAAAAGACACAGACTGGCAAGTTGGATAAAGTGTCAAGACCCATCAGTGTGCTGTATTCAGGAGACCCATCTCACGTGCAGAGACACACATAGGCTCAAAATAAAGGGATGGAAGAAGATCTACCAAGCAAATGGAAAACAAACAAACAAAAAGGCAGGGGTTGCAATCGTAGTCTCTGATAAAACAGACGTTAAACCAACAAAGATCAAAAGAGACAAAGAAGGCCATTACATAATGGTAAAGGGATCAGTTCAAAAAGAAGAGCTAACTATCTTAAATAAATATGCACCCAATACAGGAGCACCCAGATTCATAAAGCAAGTCCTTAGAGACCTACAAAGAGACTTCGACTCCCACACAATAATAATGGGAGACTTTAACACCCCACTGTCAACATTAGACAGATCAAAGAGACAGAAAGTTAACAAGGATACCCAGGAACTGAACTCAGCTCTGCACCAGGCGGACCTAATAGACATCTGCAGAACTCTCCACCACAAATCAACAGAATATACATTCTTCTCAGCACCACTGCACTTACTCCAAAATTGACCACACAGTTAGAAGTAAAACACTCCTCAGCAAAGGTAAAAGAACAGAAATTATAACAAACTGTCTCTCAGACCACAGTGCAATCAAACTAGAACTCAGGATTAAGAAACTCACTCAAAACCACTCAACTACATGGAAACTGAACAACCTGCTCCTGAATGGTTACTGGGTACATAACAAAATGAAGGCAGAAATAAAGATGTTCTTTGAAACCAACAAGAACAAAGACACAACATACCAGAATCTCTGGGACACATTTAAAGCAGTGTGTAGAGGGAAATTTATAGCACTAAATGCCCACAAGAGAAAGCAGGAAAGATCCAAATTGACACCCTAACATCACAATTAGAAGAACTAGAGAAGCAAGAGCAAAGACATTCAAAAGCTAGCAGAAGGATCAGAGCAGAACTGAAGGAGATAGAGACACAAAAACCCTTCAAAAAATCAATGAATCCAGGGGCTGGTTTTTTGAAAAGATCAACAAAATTGATAGACCGCTAGCAAGACTAATAAAGAAGAAAAGAGAGAAGAATCAAATACATGCAATAAAAAATGATAAAGGGGATATCACCACCGATCCCAGAGAAATACAAACTACCACCAGAGAATACTAGAAACACCGCTATGCAAATAAACTAGAAAATCTAGAAGAAATGGATAAATTCCTCGACACATACACTCTCCCAAGACTAAACCAGGAAGAAGTTGAGTCTCTGAATAGACCAATAACAGGCTCTGAAATTGAGGCAATAATCAATAGCTTACCAACCAAAAAAAGTCCAGGACCAGACGGATTCACAGCCGAATTCTACCAGAGGTACAAGGAGGAGCTGGTACCATTCCTTCTGAAACTATTCCAATCAACAGAAAAAGAGGGAATCCTCCCTAACTCATTTTATGAGGCCAGCATCATCCTGATACCAAAGCCTGGCAGAGACTCAACAAAAGAAGAGAATTTTAGACCAATATCCCCGATGAACATCGATGCAAAAATCCTCAATAAAATACTGGCAAACCGAATCCACCAGCACATCAAACAGCTTATCCACCATGAACAAGTGGGCTTCATCTCTGGGATGCAAGGCTGGTTCAACATACGCAAATCAATAAACATAATCCAGCATGTAAACAGAACCAATGACAATAACCACATGATTATCTCAATAGATGCAGAAAAGGCCTTTGACAAAATTCAACAACTCTTCATGCTAAAAACTCTCAATAAATTAGGTATTGATGGGATGTATCTCAAAATAATAAGAGCTATTTATGACAAACCCACAGCCAATATCATACTGAATGGGCAAAAACTGGAAGCATTCCCTTTGAAAACGGGCACAAGACAGGGATGCCCTCTCTCACCACTCCTATTCAACATAGTGTTGGAAGTTCTGGCCAGGGCAATCAGGCAGGAGAAAGAAATAAGGGATATTCAATTAGGAAAAGAGGAAGTCAAATTGTCCCTGTTTGCAGATGACATGATTGTATATCTAGAAAACCCCATTGTCTCAGCCCAAAATCTCCTTAAGGTGATAAGCAACTTCAGCAAAGTCTCAGGATACAAAATCGACGTGCAAAAATCACAAGCTTTCTTATACACCAATAACAGACAAACAGAGAGCCAAATCATGAGTGAACTCCCATTCATAATTGCTTCAAAGAGAATAAAATACCTAGGAATCCAACTTACAAGGGATGTGAAGGACCTCTTCAAGGAGTACTACAAA
This sequence comes from Homo sapiens, assembly GCF_000001405.40. Lineage (NCBI taxonomy): Eukaryota > Metazoa > Chordata > Mammalia > Primates > Hominidae > Homo > Homo sapiens. The sequence goes on along the minus strand of NC_000003.12, from coordinate 82,371,995 downwards.
CCACTGCTCAATGAAATAAAAGAGGATACAAATAAATGGAAGAACATTCCATGCTCATGGGTAGGAAGAATCAACATTGTGAAACTGGCCATACTGCCCAAGGTAATTTATAGATTCAATGCCATCCCCATCAAGCTACCAATGACATTCTTCACAGAATTGGAAAAAACTACTTTAAAGTTCATATGGAACTAAAAAAGAACCTGCATTGCCAAGTCAATCCTAAGCCAAAAGAACAAAGTTGGAGGCATCACGCTACCTGACTTCAAACTATACTACAAGGCTACAGTAACCAAAACAGCATGGTACTGGTACCAAAACAGAGATATAGACCAATGGAACAGAACAGAGCTCTCAGAAATAATACCACACATCTACAACTATCTGATCTTTGACAAACCTGACAAAAACAAGAAATGGGGAAAGGATTCCCTATTTAATAAATGGTGCTGGGAAAACTGGCTAGCCATATGTAGAAAGCTGAAACTGGATTCCTTCCTTACACTTTATATAAAAATTAATTCAAGATGGATTAAAGACTTAAATGTTAGACCTAAAACCATAAAAACCCTAGAAGAAAACCTAGGCAATACCATTCAGGAGATAGGCATGGGCAAGGACTTCATGTCTAAAACACCAAAAGCAATGGCAACAAAAGCCAAAAATGACAAATGGGATCTAATTAAACTGAAGAGCTTCTGCACAGCAAAAGAAACTACCATCAGAGTGAACAGGCAACCTACAGAATGGGAGAAAATTTTTGAAATCTACTCATCTGACAAAGGGCTAATATCCAAAATCTACAAAGAACTCAAACAAATTTACAAGTAAAAAACAAACAACCCCATCAACAAGTGGGCAAACGATATGAAGAGACACTTCTCAAAAGAAGACATTTATGCAGGCAACAGACACATGAAAAAATGCTCATCATCACTGGTCATTAGAGAAATGCAAATCAAAACCACAATGAGATACCATCTCACACCTGTTAGAATGGCGATCATTAAAAAGTCAGGAAACAATAGGTGCTGGAGAGGATGTGGAGAAATAGGAACACTTTTACACTGTTGGTGGGACTGTAAACTAGTTCAACCATTGGGGAAGACAGTGTGGCGATTCCTCAGGGATCTAGAACTAGAAATACCATTTGACCCAGCCATCCCATTACTGGGTATATACCCAAAGGACTATAAATCATGCTGCTCTAAAGACACATGCACACGTATGTTTATTGTGGCACTATTCACAATAGCAAAGACCTGTAACCAACCCAAATGTCCACCAATGATAGACTGGATTAAGAAAATGTGGCACATATACAACATGGAATACTATGCAGCCATAAAAAGTGATGAGTTCATGTCCTTTGTAGGGACATGGATGAAGCTGGAAACCATCATTCTCAGCAAACTATCGCAAGGACAAAAAACCAAACATCGCATGTTCTCACTCATAGATGGGAATTGAACAATGAGAACACTTGGACACAGGAAGGGGGACATCACACACTGGGGTCTGTTGTGGGGTGGGGGGAGGGGGGCGGGATAGCATTAGGAGATATACCTAATGTAAATGACGAGTTAATGGGTGCAGCATACCAACACGGCACATGTATACATATGTAACAAACCTGCACGTTGTGCACATGTACCCTAGAACTTACAGTATAATAATAATAAAAAAGTCTACTAATGCAAAGGTGAAATTTTGCTTTCTCTCTTGAATAAGATTTTCATGTAATATTAAAAGATAACAAAAGATTTTTATTTTGTTTTTAAATACATAAAAAAAAAGAGGGAAAAGACAAAAGGCAGATTTTTTGAAAAGCTAAGTCTTTCCTCAAGCAATGAGTAAAGGTTTTTGCCTTTTTAAAAATGTTTGAGTCTAATGACTTATGGTGACCTAGAATTCTAGTTAATAATATCAAGTGTTTTAAACTTTTAACATATTTAAAAGGCTCCCTAAAATCAAATTTCAGCTTCAAAATGGTCTTTTCAGAACTCTAACTTTGGAATGCTACAGAGTGCCCCTGAATCATCCTAAAGAGAGGTAAACAGAATTATTTAACATGTTAAGTTACATGGGAACCATTGTCAAAATAAAAATAATGTTTAATCTTTAGGTTATATTTTAGTGAATGATATTAATATATGTTCCAAAATTGTATGGGATTTCTAAAATTCTAATATGCCTGAGTATATGCTATCAATCATAATTATGGTTATTATGTTATTTACACCACAGAAATAACCAAATTTCCTTGTAAAAAACTGTTAACTCAAGTAGAACAAAAACACTAATTAAATACCAAGAAAACACCTTGACAGATTTTTATGTTAAACTAGCATATACTGAAATTGTTAGATATACAATTTGAACTCTACGGTCTAAGTCAAATTACCCATGATAACCCATTAGTTATCAGTCCCTAAACCGGAAAAACAACTGGTATTCAAGAGGACATAAGTCCAGTGTTAAGCATGGACTCATGGAGAACCAGGACAACTGCCCTGTCCTTCCTGAGTCCTTAAAGCTTTTGTTATTAAAGGTTCTTCATTCCATGACTCATCATGGAAATGATAAAATAATACAAATTGAATATATTGATGTGGTGACTTATACGTTGCAAAAACAGTTTAAAACCAATGTTTGCTTCCATACTCCTGGGAAGACAATAAAACCTTCAGGTACATTTGGCTACCTGATGGGTCATTTAAACACTTAGAAAGGGATTTCTTGTCACTTTTAAAGCATGTTTTATGTTATAGCAGTTAATTATTATGCCACAGTATATTTTCACCAGGTATAGAAAGTTTTTTATAGTTCACTGAGGACAATCAACCTCTTCATAGTCTAGAAACTGAAGATTGGATCTTCTGAGAACATCAGAGAAAGATTGACCTTGCCGTCCACACTGCAACAAAACTGGAAGCTTGAACCTTGGGTTTATAATCTCACAACTGAGAAGGGTACCCCGACACTCTTGGAACTGTACACCCATTGAAACCCTTAAGGTAAAACTAACCAGGAAAGTTTCTTTCCAGAAGAAGATGGCATCCTTGATGTGAACAGATTTTCCCAAGATCACGAATCAAGACTTCTACTATCATGAGACTCTTATCTTTGCATATTTTTTCCCTGTTTATGCCTCTATGAACAATGGAAATGAAAAGGGGGCCTATTATGTGCACTTATAGGGTATAGTTTTATTTGTGAAGAATTTTGCATCCAGACTTATACATAAATATATTTATACTTTGATAGATAAAAGATGAAGCCCCAATGTAGGTGAGAAATTTTAGTGGTACATACATTGCCTCATAATCCGTCAAAACTCCTATTAACCTACATCATAGATTAAAGAGAACGTTGCCAGGAGATGTTCACTCTTCTTCAAGGACATCATTTGTTAGGTCCTTTTTCCATGGTTTAGAATAAAAGAGGCAATAATTAGAAATGTATCCCTTTTGATAGGCTGTATAGCAGATTCTACTGTAAAGGCTATCATTAAACAACAGGCTTTAAGTTCTTTTGTGAAAGTTATTCTAAATAACATAATTGGCTAAACAGAAAAGTACTTGTGTAGCTTCTGGTACTTATGGCCTATGAAGAAATTTATCAAATGTAGATTATAGAAATTCAGTTGTAGGGCATTAATAAAAAGACCACTTAGTCAAGTGAGTAGATTCTTTAGCTCATTCTTTATTTAATTTTCGGTGGTTTGGTTTATGGGGACACTGGGTAAGGAGCATACTCCAAACTCTTGGTATTATCCTCCCAATAGTCATAATAATAGTCTTCCTGGTGCACTGTATTCTCTCAAAAGTTTTAAATGTTTGCATGCAGGCATCTCTAGAACAACAAATGGTCTCTGTTCAACTGGAATAACAAGAGATGAAAGAAATGTGTGACTATGAAGATACTGTAACCTATGAATGATGTGCTGAGACAGGAAACCCAAAACGATGGTGACAGAGAGTGGAGCTAAGGCCCTAGTTTTGGTCAGATGCTCACCTAAGTGAGAAGCTGAACAAAAGGGGGGATTTTTTTTTTTTAACAAAATTACGGAAGGCCATTGTTTTGGACTGAGCTCACACACTAGGCCCCAACAGGCCAAACCAAACTAAAATGGAGTCAATCCTGCTAAATAATCATACTAAGACTTTAAGGAAACATACAGATCTTAAAATATAATCAAACTAAGACTTTAAGGAAACACATAGATCTTAAAATATAATCAAACTAAGACTTTAAGGAAACACATAGATCTTAAAACATAATCAAACTAAGACTTTAAGGAAACACATAGATCTTAGAATAGACTAGGTTTTGTTTTTCTCCTGTAAACAGTATGTTCCAGCATAAAGAGGTACCCTCTACTCAGTTCTTGTTCTTACCTTTGCAAAACTCACTGTTCTACTGTTTCCCAGTGGGTTTCAAGACCAAATAAGTACATTAACAATGGTAATAGTGATATTAATAACTAAAATTTTGGTCAATCTCTCAAAATTAAGAAAATGACCAAAAGGGGAGAATTGTTAAAGTAATGAAATATGGCCTGAGAAGGACTCCATACTTCTATATTTGAGTCCTTGTGGACAAAATGCAACCCAGCTTAAGAGGTAGACAAGATTAAAACAAGTGCCTGTAGCAATAGCTGAATCTTGGCCAATCACAGTCACCATACATCAACCATTCATACACTGCTGAGTGTTCAAACTGTGTTCAAATAAGGCAAACACTAACCTGTAACCAAACCAGTCGTTCTGTACCTCACTTCCAATTTCTGTACATCATTTCCTTTTTTTTTGTCTATAAACTTTCTTCCACCCTGTGGCTGCACTGAAGTCTCTGTGAATCTGCTGTGATTTTGGGGGCTGAATTGTTCGTGAATTGTTCATTGCTCAATTAAACTCCTTTAAATTTAATCTGGCTAAAGTTTTTCTTTCATCAGGAATATTTATTCACATACATCTGTTAGAGTTATAATAAATACTTGCTAATACTGAATTTAAAGTGGCTAAATGTATACAGAGCTTTATAGGAGTATTTCTCAACATTGGTACTATTGACATTTTGGCTAGATAGTTCTTTATTGTGGGAAGCTGTACCATGGACTGCCATGTGTTTTTCAGTATTTCTTACCTCTACCCACGAGGTACCCAGATATTATCAAATATCCCATGGAAGGGTGAAAAATCCCCCTGATTGAGGACCACTGCCTTATTATATGTTGTGTCTGATGATAGTGGGAATTCATTAGTGTTCAGCAATGTTGCAATTTATTACAAGGCTAAGTGGGATTTTTTGAGTAGCTGCAGATACATTCTTAGGCATGTTGAACAGCCAAAGAAGGCTGAGTGGTGAAGAAGGCACATGACAGGAAAGAGCATGTCAAGTCTACACTCTCTTGGGCCACACATTGTTTGGCCCAATGTGTGGCCCAATTTCTGGAAGTACCTCTGAAACAAAGAAAATAGGAAGCCCACCTACAGTCACAGGATGTGCTATCATGTTACAAGTAATATGTAGAAAACACTGGAAGCATTGCTGTCCTCCAACTACTCCTGATGTTGTGAATCTCAAATAAAATGGACAATGATCTGTAAACAATGCTTCCTATCTGGCCTTTTAAAAACTCTTTCTCTCCTCAATCAAACACTCTCTTCTAACATATTCATATTAGTTATTTATATATGACTAAAGGCAATTTCACTTTTTTAGAACCCTGTCCTAACTCCCAGTATAGCTGTTCTTTATGCACAAGTTTTGCAAAATATATGTGTAAAATAATTAGGTTATAGCAGAGAGAATATCAACTTTTCCTTCCCAGTATCCCATTCAAATGCTAAAATGCATCTCATAACAGTTTTAGAAATAAAAATTGTTGGGAGATAATTCTCCATGGGTCTAGCCCAATTCTGCATGTCTTGTCAATTGAGATAATGACTATTTTTATTCTGGATTATATTTTCACAGATGTTTCTATAGTGAAAAGCCTGGAAATAAACAAAAATGTCTCCAACCAAAGACAATGACAGGCCCACTTCCTGTTCAGTGTAATAAAGGTTCCTCCAGTATAATAAAGACAATGTTTCCCTCTGGAGCAAAATTCAGGCAAGCTTACAGCCTACTTAAAAGATCCTGGTTCCCTAATCCCAGAGATCCTTTAGTGTAACAACTCACTGTGTGTGCAGGCGCACCTTTACATTCTTTCACATCACCCTGTTGGGACTGGGCCTGGGGGAACAAGCACAGAAGATGTCAATGCTCTACTTCCATTGCTCTAAGTAACAGAGTCTTTTGTCTCTCATTCAAGAATATTATGTCTTCTTTCACCACACATGTAACAGTAGCAGGCGAATTTGTATTTTCTCCTCCTTGGTGCTGTTGCTGTGTATACACTGTTTCTTCATCAAGGCTGTGTGCGAGTATAGTGACTATCCATCCCAGTTTACCCAGACTTTCCTGGTTTTAGCAGTGAAAGTTTCACATCTAAGTAAACACTTTGGTCCTGGAGAAAGAAGAATACATACAAAAATGTTCCTTCTCTTCTTTGCTTTTCCTGCCTTTCTCTATCTTCTCTCCTTCCTTCTTTTCTTCCCTCATTCCTTCTTTCTTTCCTTCCCTCCTTCTTTCTTTCTGCCTTACTTCCTTTTACCCTTCATTCCTGCCTTCTTTCCTTCCACCATTTTTCGATTAGAATTTTTTTAAAGATATCAAAGAATTAGCTTCAAGTATCAGATAGCAATATTTAGAACATTAACTGTTGTCTGTGTAATTAATTAGGAAAGTTACAGAAAGCAATTCCTGGTTTTAACCTTTATTACCTACTATTCATAGATAACTTTTTCATATATAGTAATTCTACATCCTGAAATTGATTCTATAATTGTTTTTAAATATTTGCTGCTAATCCCTGTGGTAGGGTTTGATCCCTCGCCCCATTCATAAAGCCTGGTCACGTGACTTGCAGTTTTTCTTTCTGTAGGGGAGATTTTACTTGCCTATCTCATTGAAATCAGGGTTGCCTCTGTGGTTTGCTTTAGCCAAGGAAATATAAGCGGGATAACACGTAACTTTTTGAAAGAGAACTTTCAAGAGCCAGCATGTAATTCCACCATTGTCCTTTGTCATTTGCTGCAATACTGGCAATGTTCCATGTAGACAGATCTAAAACTGGAATCGGGTTATCTGTCTCTTCTGTACATTGATGAATCGCACAAAACAATACAAGAATCATCTCATTTTGCTAATACTTTTCTCATTCTCTATCCATTTGACTTTGGAAAGGGAACATCATTCACCACACAGAATAGTTAGAAGTATTGCTGAATAGTTAGTTACAAAATATCAGTGACATCAGAGCAAGAAACACTCTGATATGAAATTTATTTCTAGATTATGATTCCTATTCTTCTCCATGACAACTTCATGTGTTCATGGAAGACTAGGCTCTCAGCCATCCAAACATTCAGAAAACAAAAAGAGTTAATATTAAGTGGTGAAATTTTGAATAAAAACACATTTAAGAGAATCTTGCCAGGACTAATTTATCTAATGAATTAGCTGTTTGATCATGTATAGGTCACAATAGCTTTTGATATTTATTTCCTCATTGAAAAGTGAAGTGATTAAGGTCTCGAAGGTTCCTGCAGTTCTAACATTTGATCTCTCTCCTGAGTGTTATTGACTTTTATGACAGTAATTTTCCACTTTTATGAGAGAAATGTGTTTTTTATAGTATCATGTTCAGATAAATTGGGGTTATTCCTTCATTCTCTAAAATCCTTGAATGTTCTGGTTTATATAGTCCATATGTGCAAGTGTTCACTGCAATTTTTTTATGCAAAATATATAATTTAGGATTCTTTTCAATGACGTTATTATTGAGCCAGTATAGAAAGACAAAGTAGCTGAAATGGTGCATGCCAAATATTGTTCTTAACAGATAATTGTGGACACGCTTCTATGTAGGGTCCAAACTCTACTATCACCAATGTTTAGGATTGAATGAAGGTAGGTAAGAATTCAGTAGAATTCATTGTATGTCATTTCTAGAGGAACACAGTTGTCATGAGTATCCATTTGAATCAATACTAATTAAGGCTCAAATTACCACCTTCTAAATGCCTTGCTGGCTCTCCGTGGAGAGTAACAATAAGCTGTATAAATGTAGGGTCCATTTGACTTGTTCTTCACATAATGCAAATCATTCTCATTGTAAAGGAAATTTGCATACAAATGAGAGTACATTTACTTATTTCTCCAGATCATAGAAGTCTGAAGACTCCAAATAAAGTGTTCCTCTAAAGATTGGGAACTAGTCGGAAAATTTCACTCTGATATTGAAGTTGGAAAGATTCAACATACATTAATGAGATTAGCCATCTGCAGAAATGACCCATTCTAGCAGATGGTTTCTAAATGTGAAAATGATTACACAAGGATGCTTCTCAAATCTCATTAAAGAGACTAAAATAAAGCCAATATAAGATACACTGACCTAATTAATTGTTAGTTCTTTTATGTAATGTCAGAAGAAGGCAAAGGCATGCTTGAATTCTGGTGAGGGAGAAAAGAAGAGCCAAAGGGCCAGAATTTGACACTGGCATTCATTCATGCAACATTTATTGAGCACCTACTTATAGGCCAAGTATTATGCAATACCAGGCTGATACTTAGAGAATAAGGAAGGCAAATGTTTGTATTTGCTTGGCAAGTATTTTTCTTTCTGTTGTACAGCGATCAAAGTACCAGATTTTATTAATCTTCCAAATTTCTCCAGTCAAATATTTTCATAGATTTGAAAACTGATGAATTAGTATAAATATTTAACTTCTTTTTTTAAAATTTGAGCACATTTAGTTAAATTATTATTTTATTGAGAAAATACTAAGTGAAAGACATTTTGCATAAAGCTATGTAGAAAGCAGTAATAGGTATGTGTTGATATATTACTGACTGCCCTCCAAGAGTGTAATCATAAGAGAAATAAAATCTAAGAAAACTTACATATAGTATTAAGTGAAAGGTTATGGAAAATACACAATAATTCTGCAATTGGCATTTGGAAGCAGAAAGTGGAGCAGAAAAAGCTTCCATGGAGAAAACAAGTTGACTTTGAAAAGATTTGAACAGCTCTAGAAAGAAGGAATAGCACTCTAATTGGAGGGTACAATGTAGCTAATGCATAAAAGCAGGAAAAGGTAAAGCTGGAACTATTGTTGGAATGTAGCAGGAATGGAAGGAAGTAACAGCAAGTAAAAGTAGAAAAATATTTGGAATAAAGTCAGCATGAATTACATGCCAAGAAAAATATATTAGACTTTATTCTGTAGAATACAGGAAAAAACAGTGAAATTTTGAGTTATAATATAAACGGCGATTATGGTTAAACACTTGAATGCCTCCATGCAAAGTTCTAAATTGCTTTCTAACTTTTAAATTAATCTATTGTTATTTGGATGAATATACTAGCACATGAATATCCCTAGTTAGATTGATACAATCAATATCCAGATTTTAAAATACTGAGAACCAGGCTCTGGTCCCATGATGTAAATGTATCATGGAGTCATAAGATAGCAAAAAGTTGTTGATAGATATTTCATCCATCCTTTTTCTCCTCTAAACTATGATAAGGCCCACATTTTTAAAGCTAAATTATCACTGAATTAAAAACTGAATTTAGCCAAACTATGATACATTTAGTGAAATAATAATTCTTCATTAAAAGAAAAAAGCCCTTTTTCCTCCTCAAAGCTACTACTAGTAGATAATTGCTTTATTGTACATGTATTCTCCTTAGAATTTGAAATTTCACATACTTTGAGATTGGAACATTGTTTCAGCAATCTTCTTCCTAATGAAAAACCTATCTTCTGAGAGTAAGTTTTTAAAAATATATTTCAATTTGCGCTTCAAGTCAGAGATGAGAGTTTTAAAGTACTTCTCTATTTGTTTCCTTCAAAGAGGAATTTTTAACATCATTGACATTAATACTTCTACACAGCTGTTTTCCTTTGTCATATGCATCCCTCATTTGATTAGGGACCAAGGTGTCAAGTTGTGTACCCTTAAAGACTATTTTTGAGAGGCCTATACTAGACATTGAAAAAAGAAAAATGACCACCTTATTTACTAACTTAGATGTTAACTGAATTATTTTTCCTTTCTCATGATTACTTGATTGAACTTTTAAAAGAAATTTCTGCTTTCTGTCAGAGATTTCAATACGTAGTAACACTAAGAACTCATTTTGTATTTATGTGTCACTAGACTGTACATCATATCATTAATAACATGTATATAGGTACACTTTTTACTTATTAATTTTCTAATGAGAGAATATAGATGTATTGCTCCTTCCTTCTACATAAGCTGGTGTCTATCACCACAGATATTTTGATGAAAATAATCACTAAGACATAAAAATAAAAAACTAAAAATGGAAAAGTACTTCCATACTAAAAAAAAAAAATCCAGGAGAAATAGCATTTTCTCATAGGATCAAGTACTATTAGGCTGCGCAAATGGTGCTAATGCTATGATTTGGGGTAAGTCATACATCAGACAGAGGATTAGCTCAAAACTCATGCCCTCCATCAGCCCATTACCAACCCCTGGGCTCAAACCTCGTATGTGGGCTTACGCGGCTCTCTCCTATCCAATTCCAACCATGTTGCCTCAAATCCCAAAGACAGTGGGGATTGTCATAGGCTTTTTTACCCTATGTGTTTGGCATCATTCATACCAAGAGCACTTACCCCACCACTTCCACAAGCCCCGTGCCTGAGATCAGGCAGTCTTCCAAGGATAGTGTTATGGGTTGAATTATGTCCCTCAAATGTTGAAGACTTAACCTCCAGTACTTGTAATTGTGACCTTATTTGGGAATAAGGACTTTGCAGAAAATTAAGTTAAGATGAAATTATTAGGTTGGGCACTATTCCAACATGACTATGTCCTTATAAAAAGCATAAAGCATAAATTTGGACACAGAGACAAATATACAGGAAGAATACTATGTGAATATTGGAATTGTATTGTCACAAACCAAGGAACACCAAAGATTTCCAGCAAACCACCAGAAGCTAGAAGACAGGCTTACAGTCCTCAGAAAGAAGCAATGTTAGCCTTCAGATCTGTAAGACAATAACTTTCTCTTGTATAAGCCACCTACTTTGTGGTATCTTGTTACGGCAGCCCTAGGAAATTAATATAAGTGGCCAAGACTATCTCCTCTGAGAATATTTGAGACAATTGCTTCATAATACTAATGAGCTCTTCCAGTCAGTGTGGTAACTTTTAACCTCTCCTAGGCTGGTCTTAAGTCCTGCTGGACAAAGGAAAAACATTCTTGCCTTTTCTCCCTTCTAATAGTGGTTGTGAAAGACATGGATGCAGTCAAAATTTCAAAAAGATCACAATCTAGGAATGCATTGGTTATGGCCTAAAGTATATTAGAGAAGACTTTTTTGGAGATGTATACCATATTAATGGTATAAAATAATTTTAAGTGTTTTTAATTTTAATCTAACATGATCAAAAAATGAATGACTGTCCACATTTTCCTGTGTACTCCAGATAAGAATTGATTTGTCATCACCATCAGCAGAGCACAGTCACAATCTCTGAAAGTCATTGGCACCACGATGAATGATCCAACACAAGAGTAACAATGAAAAACCAGAATTATGTAAGTGGTATTAGGGAAGTGGAGAGGCAAGAAATTCTATATTATTTGAATATAGAAAAGTTCTGAAGAGTCACGGCACAATAAAAAGTAGCAGAGTCACTTCCTTTTTTATTGCAATGGAAGATATAAAATTAAAATTAGCCAAGCATGTTGCATTTAAAAAATAAAGAAAAAAAAGGTAATTTTTGGACCTGAATAACAAAAGATACTAGACACTAACAAGAATATTTATTGACACTGATTTGGCAATAAATATGAGTACCTCTTTTATATCTATTATTCTCAATCTTCATTAATAAATCACTATGCTTCACATGGGCTCATACATTTTGTAACATATAGTCTGCCCAACTTATTTATATAGCAACGGGAGTTAGAAGTGAGGGTCAGAATTGAGCAAAGGGGTAAGTATTCGTCCAAAAAAAAGACCGGGTGTTAGGATTATAAGAACCAGATAGATCATAAGAACAAATGATCCCCAGTGGAAATTATTCCAGATCTCCCTGGCTGTCTGTATATTCATCCCTTCCCCTGCCTCTGCTCTTCAATGCAAGGCACCAGATCTCTGCTTAGTGTCAGTTTTTTGATGTCTTTATGGGATGTATCAATGGTAAACACTGGTGTAAAATTGAAGGGATGGTGGCAAAATGTAGGATGTTGTTCTCATACTTTCAGTCTTAGGAGATTTCTCTGGCCAAAGCTGCATCTTCTCTGTGGTTTCCATTACCAGACAAGCCCACTGTATGCCTATTCCAGTAGTCCCCCAGGGTACCAGTAACGCTGTTTCTTTCTAGACTAAGATCTAAAGATAATGACCTCAGCTGCAAAACTCTAAAGAACATTAAGGTTTTCTGGATATCAGCTCCTCAATATGTGTATAACGAATTCCCTGCTACAAATATTTGGGGCATTTCCCCTTTTGGGATTAGATCATTATTAAGGCATCACCTTAGGTGTAGATGGCTACTGCTATAGTTTGAATGATGGTGCCTTCTCCAAAATTTGTGTTGAAATTTAATCCCCAATGCAATTGCTAAGGGGTATGGCTTTTGGGACAGTCTTCATGAATAGGTTTAGCACCCTTATAAAAGGTCTCAAGGCTGAAAGAAGTGGTCACTTGTCCTTCTGCTGTCTGCCATTTGAGGCCACAGTATCTGTCCCCTGCGGAGAACACATCCACAAGGTGTTATCCTGGAAGCAGGGAGTAGCCCTCACCAGACACCAATACCAGCACCTTGATCTTGTACTTCCCAGACTCCAGAACTGTGAGAAATGAATTTCTGTTCTTTTAAAGTTACCCAGTCTCAAGCATTTTGTTAGAGCTGCACAAACAGACTGAGGCAACCATTCTTTGCATAGAGTAGGACACTGCCAAGGTTGACTTCAAGTAAAGCTTGTTAGGCCATTTAGAGAAAAAGGGCAATACCTTAGCTAGCATAAAGATGCTGCATAAATTGAACAGAAAGTGTTTGCTGCAGGAATAAAGCCCCTTCTCATGGTTAGTATGGAATGGAGCTCTTCCCTGGCTACTGGAACCTCTATTGTGCCAAAAAAAAAAAAAAAAAGAATGTCTTCTTTCTTTCTTTCTTTCTTTCTTTCTTTCTTTCTTTCTTTCTTTCTTTCTTTCTCTCTCTCTCTTTCTTTCTTTCTCTTTCTTCTCTCTCTCTCTCTCCTTCCTCCCTCCCTCCCTCCTTCCTTCCTTCCTTTCTTCCTTCCTTCCTTCCTCCCTCCCTCCCTCTCTCTCTTTCTTTCTTTCTTGGATCATATTTGATATGGTTTTGTTCTGTGTCCCTAATAAAATCTCATCTGGAATTGTAATCCCCACATGTTGCTGGAGGGGCCTCGTGAGAGGTGACTGACATGGTGACTTTCCCCTTGCTGCTCTCATGATAGTGAGTGAGCTCTCATGAGATCTGGTTATTTGAAAGTGTGTTGCTCTTCCCATTTCTTTCTCTCTCTCCTATGGGAAGATGTGCATGCTTCCCCTGCACTTCTGCCATGATTTTAAATTTCCTGAAGCCTCCAGTCATGCTTCCTGTTAAGCCTGCAGAACTGTGAGTCAATTAAACCTCTTTTCTTTATAAATTACCCAGCCTCAGGTAGTTCTTTATAGCAGTGTGAGAATGAACTAATACATTACTATTAGCAAAAATATACACAAATTACAAATGTGCATAGTAATAATAGAGAAAAATGGGCCTTTCACTATAAAAATGAACAAATATGCATCAGATAAAATTTTATCATTAAATAAAATATTTTAAAAAGGAATCAAATCAGAGCAAATACCTCTGAAACAAACAAGAAAACTTTTATTTATACACCAAATAGTATTAATATTTCTTCTATGAAGCAAGAAAAGCTAGCCACATAGGATGACAAAATAACTTCTCTGGGTGAGTGATTTTTGCTTTCATTCCCATGCCCTTTATTTTAGAGATAATAGCTATGGACAGTCAATTGCTCTAACTTTGGAGATATTTTATACTTTTCAGTACCTAACCCTGTTGAGCTAGTTATTTTTTGTTGTGAGGTGCGAAGATGAAATTCTGTAATGCTGCTGCATTTTGTTTGTTTTCCTGCTTTTTTTTTTTTCTTCCTATTTCAGAGTCAGATGGTGGTCGTGGAGCAGATTACTCCAAAGTTAATGTGTTTTCACAACCCATTGGGATGTCACTAATAAACCCTAGGTTTTCACAACCTTATATTTTAAAATTCAGTAGTTTAATGATACATTTTTAGAATTCTGTATCACAATTCTTTAATCAATCAATTGAAATTACTCATAAATAATGATTGACAAGTGCTGGACAATGTCTGTTCAATATTAAAATTATCTCAACTTTTGGCCTATGAAAATTGCAGGTAATATGTCTATCAACTAAAATTTGAAGGTACTTTTTTATATATACTTTATATAAACAATCTGGTTGTGAAGACAATGCTTTGTTCATTATAAATCAATACATACACTAGATGCTCCTCTGTGTCAGCAGTCAGCAGCTATAAGGTGTATCCTACCTTTATGAACTTCATAGAATAATCATTCTGTTTTGTCTTTATTCACTAAAAATTTCAGTAACTTAAGGTTTTCTTTTTCATGTTACAGGGAAGCCATTTGTGGGAATAACCACAGATATAAACTTCTCTGATAGGACCGAATCCCGTAAGAACCTGGCTCTGGAGTCTGAGACGGACATTTTCATGCTCATCTTCCCAGTGATTTTGTTTGCTGCTTCTGTGAATTCAGCTAATCCATCAGCAAGTGTGTATTGCACTCCTGCAAATACAGAACTGGGCTAGGCAATGTAGGGAACATAAGAGAAATATCAGGTTTAACCCTGGTCGTTACTTAGTCTATGAAAGTTATCTGAACTGATTCCTTCACATTTCCATCACTTATTTACTCAAGATTGTTTCAGGAATGGCAGAAACTACAAATTTGGAGCTATCAACATCTCCTCCTAAACCTGGAAATCCTAAATTTCCAGTCTTAATATTTCTTAAATATTTCTTAAGTCTTCCTCTTGGGATATCAAATTATATCTAAAGTCATAGAAGTCAGTTGACCAAAAAGGTCGATGATAATCACAAAAACCACGGGAAGCATCCTAAACTAAATATTTATAACTCAGCTCAGCTGGAGCTTTTCTAAGCCTTTCCCCAGCTTCAGCTCTTAAGGAAAATAATTCCCATTCATATGTATAGTGGATAAAGGGCACAACAGCAGAGACTTTTAAAAACCTGTCCATCATTTTATCTTCTTTTTCTAGCACTATGTCAGAGTCTCTGTAAATAACCAATAAATATTTGCTAAACTAAGTATTTGGTTAATTGGTTAAATAAAATATGATATATAATGGATGAAGTAACTCTAGTGATTAGTCATGATGTTCCTGGATATTGGCTGATGACATAAAACCATGTACATGATCGTGGCAGGCAAAATAGTGGGCTCTTAACGATGTCCACATTCTTATCCCTGGGACCTGTGACTTTACATGTCAGAAGAGACTGTGCAGATGTGATTAGGTAAAGTATCTTGAAAATTAATTCTGGATTATCCACATGGGCCCAATGTAATCACAAAGATCCTAATAAGGGAGAAGGGAAGAGGCAAGAGAGTCAGAGAAGGCTACACGCCAAGTAAGCAGGCCTTGGAGGGATGCAGCCATGAGCAAGGAACGAGAGGCCTTTTGAAGAAAACTAATGTAATATTTGCATTAAAAAATTATGCCAAAGATTTTAGTTCAAATTGGCAGAAGGCGCAACTGTATCAGCTTTCTGTTTCCCTCTAAATCTTATTGCAATAAATAAGATTTTAACAAAATGTTACAAATCTATAACAGCAAGGAGCACAGTGTGCATGGCAGGGATGGATCATTAACATGCAAACATGATTAAAATATTTCTGACAGGTTGAAAAACCAAGACATAAATATCAAGAGAAATATCAGAATAAAAGAATCTGCAATCCAGTACAAAAAGATAGGAAGGCAAGGGGAGTGCTGAGAGAATATTTTTCAAAAACCCACAAAAGTAGACAAGTTTTGAGAGTAGAAGTGAGAAGTGGGACAGAAAGCAGGTTGATTATTTAAAGGGTTTTCTATGGGAAAAGTTGCTTGGTCAACTTTTTACCTTCCATTCCTCAACACCACTTATAAATGTCTTCACCCCCTAATGTTTCTCTCAAGGCAAAAACTGGAGGTCTGTTTCTAGAAATTGCATGCCTCAGGAAAATAAAGGTTTCTCAAATGATGTTAGCACTTCAGAATAATTTTATCTCATTTTAGATGTGCATAGGGATGGGGGCAGGAACATGTGTGCTTCTGGTCTCTGCATACATTTACAAAGCATTCCTGCAAGTCTCACAGCTCTCCCACATACCTTTTGCTGTCAGCCAGCCGTATTGTCAAGAGAAACTAGGCCTCATTACATAAGGACAGAGAAAACCCAAGACAGTTACATATATTGATCAACATTCAAACACTATTAAAAATAGTTCTGGCAGATTGAAAATCAAGGTGTACGTACTGAGAAATTAACCCAAATAGAAGAAGCTGTAATCCAAACTAACCATTCATACTTAAAGAGTAATAGAAAACCAAGGTCACCAGATTTTTGAGAAAATATTGCTACTTATAACAGAAAGACTACTAGAGAAGTGATTACATAAATTAAATTTGTATCCTCATAGTTGTTTGATAAGTTATTAAGGCCACAAATTACAAACAAGAAATTTTGCTATAAAACAAAACAACTTGGCCAAGAACACAAAACAAATGTACAAATTTTGAAAACATGGTTTACTATTTTAATGATTGAACGCAGTCATGTCTGAGTGAAAGCAAAGAGAAAAAGAATGTGAAAAAAAATCAAAAATAGAGTTGCTCCAGGAGGCTAATATTCAATGAACAAAAAAAGAAACAGAGAAAATAGAAATGAAGAAACTATCCCTCAAATATCTGAAGAATCATCCAAATTGAACAGGACCACCAAGTTCATGGTAAGGGAATTACAAAAGACTTCCACCTAGAAAGAGCTTCATGAAATATCAGAAAACCAAAAGAAAGAAATCATAAAGCTACTAGATCAACAACAGCAAAAAGGAGATTCAAACCAGTATCCAACATTTCTGTAGTTCATTTAAAAGAAATTTTAAAACAAACTACCAGTCAGACATATCCTTTAGCCACATTTAAATCAGCTTAAGCGTATGCTAGGCAATTGTTATTAATATTCTGCAGCTAAATACCTCTCCATAACACTTGGCCCTGTCTGTCTTCACTTCCTCAAAATCTGCCTCAGTAACAATCTGGTTCGCAACTAGAATGTTGCCTCTTGTTTACCACGTAGCTCTATCCCTCTGGACTTGGCATTTATGTAGGGTTACTCAGCAGGCTTCTGGCTCCCCTCAAGGTCTTTGGCTTAATTTCACACACTGACCTTCCCCACTGTGGATCGCTTCTGAGAGCACATGGCCTCTCCTATCCTGCCAGCCCAATAACCAACCAGAAAATCCTCTACAATGGAGAGAATGGAAAAGCCATGTTTTTGCTTAAAATGACCAACTTCATTTTAGTGTCCATCAGGTGAATGTAACACATTTTTGTTGAAGAGAAGGTTATTATTGTTCTTGTTTTGATTTTAGTTTATTTACCCAGTTATTGAAATGATACACAATTTCTCCTTGTGGTATTTCTGTCAAATTTCTTTCAGTCATCCAAACTTTGCTCACTATATATGTATGTTTCCGAGCCATCTGTAGCTACAATTCACAGCCCATTTATGTCTAGATCAGCAAAACATATTTCAGTAGACATAAGTTGAATGATGATGGATTCAGAAGTGACACTAATGGAAATGCTCAAAATATAAGATTTGCTGCCTGTCGAATAGCTAAAAATTACAGCCATATTGAAAATTAGGTATGCGTACTGCAGGAGGCCAAAAAGCCTTAAAGAGGTTTTTTTTATCCTAAGATAGTTACTATGAAAATGCTACATGCTTTTAAAAATATGATCATTCAAGAACATAGGAAAGAAGCTGATTGTGACAACTATTGTGTGAAATGTTATGTTACCATAGCAGTCACTTCTTACTGTAGGAACGAGGTATTAAGAGACCACTCCAAGAATAGTTCCTGAGTGTACTTGAAGCCTAAAATCAATGTTTACCCATGTTTTTAATAGCATTTTGCTTTCAACATTGATTGAGTTTATTGAAAACTCCCACTGGCCGTTTTTAAGTATCAAGTTAAATTGAAAGTTCTCAATGGTGTTACTGAAACCTACAACTTACAGGCACCCTTGGTTTGTCAGAGAGCCAATGACCCTGACTATCATTTGTTGCTTAAACCTTTGGCAAGCAGCCACGGGATTTCTGAAATTAGCTGCTTTTCTGGCCTGTTTTCACTGAATTAAAAAAAAAGCCTTCATAGAAAGTAATTACAAAGTCTCTACATTAATTCTAGTAATTAAATGTGACTACA
The DNA here is from genome assembly GCF_000001405.40 of Homo sapiens. Classification (NCBI taxonomy): domain Eukaryota; kingdom Metazoa; phylum Chordata; class Mammalia; order Primates; family Hominidae; genus Homo; species Homo sapiens. The sequence goes on along the minus strand of NC_000003.12, from coordinate 82,353,300 downwards.
CCTATCATTATTAGCCTCTGTTCTTTTCTACATTACCAGAAGCAAGAGAGATCAACATAAGGGATCTTATGCTAGCTGGGCATGAATTATTTAAGTCAAATAAATAGACATCAATTTATTCTACTGGAACAACGTGGACAAATTGAAAATTTTTTTGAGTGGCAGGGGGCAGCTCATAATGAAAGTAGAGTTGTGTGACTAGACCAAAGAATCCTAAAATTATGAAGTTCATTTCCTCACTCAAATATTATTTTAAGATAGAACTAGTATTAAAAATAGCAGGAGTTCAGATAATAGCAGAGCTAGATTCTTCTGTCTAAGTTACCTCTACCTTAATTTGGAAAAGAGTATTCTGGAGAATAGGAATGATGAAGTATCTTATCCTTGTTCTCTACATGTGATTTTTATGGCATTTTGACTAATGCCCACAGACTTAAAAACAACTTCCAGCTATTACCCCTTCAGCATAGTATGGACTAAAGTGTGATTTAGAAAAAAATTGTCTTTATATGGCCCTTTCATGATAGTTGTGTATTAAATTAATATCCCCAAATTCCTTGTTTCTTCCTATTGACATCCATTAGTCCATGATGGAGGAACATGAGAAAATTACTTAATATACCCCTTCCTGTCTTGAAACTATTTAAGATTAGAGGATCTCCCATGACATTCTCATAAGGAGACAGTAGGAAGTTAATAATTGCAGTAGATACATGGTTGTTTTCTCTTCAGCACTCGTTGTTACTCCTTATTCTTTACCATAGCACCTAGTTTCTACATGCTATTCCAGGAGGTTAGCCAAACTTTCATCTAGGAATTTAAGCATGTATTTGTGACAATACTAATCATTATAACCTATCCTCTGGCCATAATTATTGCTTCAGAGATGAGAATATAACTAAGCTGATCCAATCAAAGCAAAGCATAAAACTTATAGTCAAATTTCTAACATATATCCTCCTCCAATCAGGATGATGTAGTGGAAAGACGAACTACAACCATTTTATCATAAGACCCATGCCATCTTGACGATGAACTCATGCACCAAGAGAGAAGAATCTTGGGGACTCATAGAGCAATGGAGATGGAGCCAATAGTAAGCCAGCCCTGGACCCTACCACTTTTCTGGACTTCAGTTTTAATAAAATGTGAACTATTATTTAAGCAGTTTGAGTTTATGTTTTCTAAGCAAGAATCTTGACTAACATAGTAATAGAGGGAGATAATAAAGAAATAAGGACATAAAGACATAAACCACCTGTGAGATTAACAATGCATTTTTAAGTCACAAAAAAATGGAGCTTAACAAATATTCTGTGATGCACTGGTTCTCAATCAGAACACCACAGCCACAGTGATGAACTCCAAGCCCTCCATAGTCATATCACATTCCAGTTAATACAAATCATGTATTTTTGTAAAACTATGCATTTTCATTGTTTTGATGCCTGCATTTAAAATATTAGTACTGTACTAGTTTATTATGTGCATAAAGGTGTTAATAGTAGCTTTGAATGACCTTTTGTATTTCTATGGTATTGGTTGTAATATCTCCCATTTCTTTTCTAATTCAGCTTATTTGGATCTCCCCTTTTCTTTTCTTGGTTAATCTCACTAGTGGTCTATAAATTTTATTTATCTTCTCAAAGAACAAGTTTTCCGTTTTATTCATCTTTTGAATTTTTTTTTTGGCTTCAATTTCCTTTATCTCTGATCTTTTGTTTTGTTTTGTTTTGTTTCTGCTGGGTTTGGGTGTGGTTTGTTCTCCTTTCTCTAGCTCCTTGAGGTGTAACCTTAGATTGTCTATTTGTGCTCCTTTAGACTTTTTGATGTGGGCATTTAATGCTGTAAACTTTCCTCTTAGCACCACCTTTGCTCTATCCCAGAGATTTTTACAGGTTGTCACTATTATCATTCAGTTCAAATAAATTTTTAATTTCCATCTTGATTTCATTCTTGACCCAACAATCATGCAGGAGTAGGTTAATTAATTTCCACTCATTTGCATGGTTTTGAAGGTCCTTTTGGAGTTGATTTCCAATTGATTCCACTGTGGTCTGAGAGAGTACTTGCTATAATTTCAATTTTCTTAAATTTGTTGAGACTTGTTTTGTGGACTATCATATGGTCTATCTGGAGAATGTTTTATGTGATGATGAATGTAATGTATATTCTACAGTTGTTGGATAGAATGTTCTGTAAATATATGTTAAGTCCATTTGTTCTAGGGTATAGTTTAATCCATTGTTTCTTTGTTGATCTTCTGTCTTGATGTTCTGTCTACTGCTGCCAGTAGTGTACTGAAGTTTCTCACTATTATTGTGTTGCCATCTATCTCATTCCTTAAGTCTAGTGATACTTGTTTTATAAATTTGGGAGCACCATTGTTAGGTGCATATATATTTAGGATTTTGATATTTTCCTGTTGGACTAGTCCTTTTGTCTTTATATAATGTCTCTCTTTCTCTTTTTAAACTGTTGTTGCTTTAAAGTCTGTTTTGTCTCATATAAGAATAGCTACTCCAGCTCACTTTTGGTGTCCATTTGCATCAAATGTCTTTTTCTACCCCTTTACTTTAAGTTTATGTGATTCTTTATGGGTGACGTGAGTCTCCTGAAGACAGCAGATACGTGGTTGGTGAATTTTTATCCATTCTGCCATTTTGTATCTTTTAGATGGAGCATTTAGGCCATTTACATTCAACATTAGTATTGAAATGTTACTATTCTGTTCATCATACTAGTTGTTGCCTGAATACCTTGTGTTTTTTTTTCCATTGTATTATTGTTTTATAGGCCCTGTGAAATTTATGCTTCAAGGTGGTTTTATTTTTGTGTATTTTGAGGTTTTTTTTTTCAAGATTTAGAACTCCTTTTAGCATCCCTTTAAGTGCTGGCAAATTCTTTCAGCATTTGTTTGTCTGAAAAAGATTTTACTGCTCCTTCACAATCTACACATCTGACAAAGGATTAACTTTCAGATTCTACAAGGAACTCAAACAAATCAGCAAGAAAAAACAAACAGTCCCATCAAAAAGTAGGCTAAGGACATGAAAAGACAATTCTCGAAAGAAGACATACAAATGGCCAACAAACATATGAAAAAATGCTCGACATCATTAATGATCAGGAAAATGCAAATTAAAACCACAATGTGATACCACCTTACTCCTGCAAGAATGACCATAATAAAAAAATAATGGTTGTTGGCATGGATGCAGTGAAAAGGGAACACTTTTACACTGTTGGTGGGAATGTAAACTAGTTTAACCACTATGGAAAACAGTGGGAGATTCCTTAAAGAACTAAAATTAGATCTACCATTTTGTCCAGCAATCCTACTCCTGGGTGTCTACCCAGAGGAAAACAAGTCAATATACAAAAAAGATACCTGCACACATGTTTATATCAGCACAATTTGCAATTGCAAAAATATGGAACCAGCCCAAATGCTCATCAATCAATGAGTGGATAAAGAAAATGTGAGATATAGAAAAAAAAAGAAAATGTGAGATATATACACACACACACACACACACACACACATATAAATATATATACACACACACACATATATATTTACCATGGAATACTAGTCAGCCATAAAAAGGAATGAAATAATGGCATTCACAGCAACCTGGATGGAACTGGAGACCATTATTCTAAGTGAAGTTACTTAGGAATGGAAAAAAAAAAACATTGTATTTTCTCACTTATAAGTGGGAGCTAAGTTATGAGAACGCAAAGGCATAAGAATGATATAATGGACTTTGGGGACTTGGGGGAAAGGGTGGGAGTGGGTGAGGGATAAAAGACTACAGTGTACACTACTCAGGTGAGGGGTACACCAAAATCTCAGAAATTGCCACTAAAGAATTTATTCGTGTAACCAAACACCACCTGTTACCCAAAAACCTATTGAAATGATAAAAAATGCTTAAAAATAAAATAAAATACTAATACTGTAGTAGGCAGATTATATTATACTAAGGTTTAGTCAGTTGTCCTAATCAATAAATTAACTTCAATGTGGGCCAGTTATAATTAAATTTTATAAATCTAAACTCCGGAGTAACTATTAAAAGCACTTCTACTATTCATATCTTAACACAAAGGCTTTCTCCAATAGTATAATAAAATGTTTCAAATGGCAAAATTATGGCTTGTTAATTATTATAATATATATTAGCAATAGAATCTCAGTAAAATTAATAGTATTTAAGATATATAAATTGAAATATTTAAGAATAATTCCTCATCTTTGCATAATCAGAGCACAGAATTCTCAAAAAGCTTGATCTTTAAATGGTCTTGTATCCAGTCATTGGGTTCAGGGATTTCTAATTGTCTGATATCAGCTAAACAGGAAATAGAGGCCTATTTTCAGAATATTAGCATGACTCACTTATATCAGTCTCTCATTCAAGCTGTGGTCAAAGCATCAAAAGTTGAGAGAACTGGGGTTTCATGGTGCTTACAAAATAAGTGGCCTGAACTATTTTATGTCCACTTGTTAATATTTGCTTAATACATTTCTGTATATATAACAAGGTTTGGTCTAAATGTTGGTTTTCTTTCCAACTTTTAGCAAGACATCAGGGATAGAGCTAATCTTAGCCTACTTCAAAATTCTCTGGAGGTTACCATCATCCAACAAAATAACCCAAGTATTGTGCATGACCAAAATGTTTTAGAATCATTTAAAAATGTCCATTGTTAAAGCAGTGTCTCTCAGACTTAACATTGTACTACATGTATTTGAAAATATGGCTTAGAGTGAGACATAATTTGTTTTAGGAAAGAGGTAAGAATTACCATTCTTTCCGAGATGACGTAGAGCTAAACACCTGCTATATTCCAATGGTGACATAAAGCTAAATGGTAACTAAATAAAGAACATTAGGCATGAGATTACATATTTTTTTCTTAAAGCTACTATTAGATTTATTTTAAGTTTATTTTTCAAGTAAAATTTTATTTATATAAATAACATATGTATAATTTTTCCTGGAAAAAATTATTAAAACATTGTACATAAGAATGAACTCACTACAACTATTGCTATTAACCACCATCAATCAAGGTCTCTTTGTTGGCTACTGAATGCTGTGCATCTTCAATTATTGTTTTCTGGGTATTTACAAACACAAGCAGGAATGTGAGCACTCACACATACATCATTGGAAATACACAATATTATTTAAGAGGGAAGAAGAAAAGTTATAGAAATACATTCTTTTTTTACTAAACATTGTCTTAAAGTAATGCACACTATTCTGACCTACTGTTTTTTACCTGTTTTTCATATTGCTTGTTTCTTTGCCTTTTTTTCCTAAATTACAAACAATGCTGCGGTGAATGTCATTATGGCTCCTTCTTGCATTAATATAAGAGTGTTTCTCCTAGCCTAAATTCTAAGAGTTTGAAGTAGAATTGCTAAGTCATAGAGAATGTACATGTAAACCCTTAGTACATTTTACCAAACTGTCCTTCAAGTGTCTTCCAGCATATGAGAGGGCCTGTTTGCATATACTGTTTGCCTTGTCAACACTTGAGGTTTGCTAATCTGATGGATGAAATAAGAATCTCATTAATGCTTTTAGCAATTTACTGGTGACTTGCAAGACTAAAGACTCTTTTATCAGTGTATTAAGTGATTGGAATTTCCTCTTCTATGAATTTCCTGTTCATGTTTTTAGCCCAGAAATGCTTTCATAGATACACATAATCATTGCTACATAGCATTAGCTGATTTCCAACTTGCTTGGTGTATTGACGTTTGTAATCCTTTAATTGTACAGCATGCAGAAAAAGAAAGTCTAGTGGTTTAAAAGTAGACTACAAGAAATTATTATGAATTGCTGCTAAAATTTAATAAATACATACTTATATAGTTTAGCATATCTATTATTTAAAAGGTGTACAACCTCCCTGAAGGAGATATTACGAGAATAAATTACTAACACTTTCTGTCTTTTTAACTTCTTTACTTTATATTCAGATCAACTAAACTTCAAACAGCAAACAAGATTTATGGAAGTCTTACTTTTTAGACAGAACAGCAACTTAATATCTGGATATCAAGAAAGGGAACCTCCATCAAAAAAAAATACCAACAATTTTCAATGGATTTTCTTTTATCAATAAGGCAGCAGCATCAAAATATGGCTACAGAGGGTTAGATGTGACCTATTAAAGTGATTAGAGTGTCACTTAATTCTAGTTTTTCTTTTATGACTGAAACAAATAGTTTTAACTTTCTGGTTCTCTTTGTCCTTATTTGCAAAACAAGAAAATATTTACTAATGCTTCTGTTGTTTTAAGTTATTGTACTGAGGGTGTAAACAAATTAAGTTCAGGAGAAATCGTTTCAGAGTGAAGTAGAAGCACATACTCCCCTCGTTATATTAAAAAGAGCTGAAGACAAATACAAGGAAATATACCTTAGGGGAAAAAATTGAAAGAACATATTTTCTCTTAACTTTATCTTCCCTGAAATTCTGGATAACAATTTTCTCTTTCTTGAAAATTTAGATTTTGAAAATGTAGATTTCAGGTACATTTAGCACATTTTACTCTAACATTGTTTTCAAGCATTTTGTTCTTGAAATTTCTTAGACTATTTCACAAAAGAGACACTGCAATTACTGAAATGTCTCATAGATCAATATAACAGGAATTTAAGTTTGACTTAATTTGAGTTTTTTTTCCAACATCTTTCATGTGTCTCTAGTGCTTCCTTGTCCTTTTATAAACAACTTTCCCTTCCAGCCCCATTGTACTATTTTTACGCTACTGATTCTGTAAGATTTCTGATTATTAGGATGAGTGGTAATGTTGTAATTTAAGTGCATTGATTTATTAATCATGCAACCATTTCTTTTATGATGAGCATCACAGACTATTCAATTTCCAAGGAAATTCACTGTTTTAAACAACATAAATTACAGTGCCACTCTGTGGGTCAATATGCCATGTTGGTATCTCTATAGATTTCCAGAAAAAATGAATGGGGGATTTGTGAAAGCAATTTAAGTTATACCTCTACCACTATGTATTTTGTCTAACTCTCAATAACACATCTAGTTCAAAAGCCTTTGACTATGCCAAGAACTTATAGAACAGCTATGGAAGTTACACAAATAGATTTTGAATTGAACATGGAAAATACAGTAATCCAATAAATTGATTATCCTTTAGTTTAACTTAATTAAGTAGAAAGTTAATACCAGTGGGAAAATTAAATCCTCACTTGTACCATAAATTAATGTCAAATTATTAGGGAAAAATTACAAAAACACAATGATGTCTTTATTCTTCGTTACCAGTAGGCATCCCATAGATGGTCTAAAACATATTATATTAAATTATCACCGGTGATAGTCTTTTATGGAGAAGTTTTGCTTTCTGGAAAAGATGCTTCAGATCTAGGAATGGTGATTCATGAATTCTGGGTATAGACATTACTGGGCAGTAAGGTTTTAGAAGATAATGTATTATCACATCGAAATATCTGGCTGAGGATGTATGGCTAACTTAATATTTTAGAAAAAAAAGTAACATTCTCTAACATTATGTGTAAATTCTTCTTCCCTTAATTTTTTTCTCATGTAGTGCATGACTTTTTTAAAAAGAATAAAAATTGTCATAACTCTCCAAAAAAATACTTTTTTAAAAGTACACAATATTTTATCCTGATGATGATGGCTATGTTTTCTTTCAGGTTGTTTTTACACTTTCAAAATACAGGTTTTAAAAATTATTTTATTTCATTTTATTTTCACAGTAGTCAGTGGAAAAGATAAATGCTAGAAACTAACGTATTTACCAAAATCATTTGTGTTAATCAGAAATAAAAAAAGTATATTATTTTTCAGATGTTCTCCATGATAGACATTAAGTACGATGCTGGTAGCAGCAAATTATATTTTTTCCTTATTCTAAGCTACAAATAGAAAATCTTGATGAATAAATAGATATTTACTTAACTTATAGTCTTGCTGAAATTACAGAGATGTATTATGCTTTTTGTTTCAATTCAGAACGCTGATAACAATTAATGCAAGTAAGTCTACAGTCATGGTAGATCACAAGAAAAGATCAGCAGACAAACACATCCAATTTAAAAATGACATCATAATAATTTTATTTCAGTCAAACAGCTTCATATTTACCTCCTTAAAGGTTGTGTGCATAATATTTTTTAAAATTTCCTATAGGGATTATAATTTTTGGTACAAGTTTTTGAATACTGCTTTTTCCCAAAAAATTTACCCGATATAACAATACAATTATGCATTTTAAAAGCCCATTTCTTTCATGTTTGGGGTGTTCTCAGCCATAAAAACCTCTTGAGTGAGAAAATATAATTCAATCCACAACTTATTATGTCCCAGGAGTCCTATGTTAAGTTGCGAAGAAACAAGGCAATTAGTATGAGCCCAGGTTTAATAGAGCATACCACATAAAAAAGATAGATTTATGAGCAGTTCATGGTACTACAATGTAAGTGTTAATCCAGCACTACAACTGAAGTAGTCATAGAGTCACAGAGAAAGACAGAAATTAATCTCTGAGTGGAAACAATGAAGTTGTTAAGACTTCATAGAAGAGATGCTATTTACACTGGACCTTGAAGGGTGATCCGGCTTTTGTAAGGTGTATAAAGGCTAGGAAGGGTATTCTTGCCAGAGAGAGAAGCATGAATAAACATATATAGGTATATAGGGCATCAGGGTCACAGGTCCCATGGTGAAATTTATAGGAAATGAGATCAGATTGTGAATGGTCATGAATTCATTTGGGCAATTATTTGCCTCACAAGAAATGATATGTTATGTTAAATGATAAACACTGTGGATATCTGATAAAGAGAGGCTGAAAACAAGTATGCTGTTAGGAGCACAATGAAATAATGTGAGCAAGAGATAATATCATCTGGATAAGGACAAGTAGAATTAGAGTGAAAATGAGTCCTTGAAGTTTTTTAGGCATTAATTTGCAGGTGTTAGGATATAACTTCTAGAGAGTGAAGACAAGAAATCAGAAATTGCTTGTGTATATTTACCAGGTTCTTGAGTCGATGAGGAGATGTTACATTAACCAAAATAAGAAATTCAGGAAGAGGAACTTGGGAGAGTGAAAAAAGGAGAATGTATTCATAGTTGAACTTAGTTCCTTGTCAAAGCTATGAATGCATAGGTAGAGATATCCAGTTTTAGTCACAAATATAAATCTGGATGTAACAAAATTATTTGATTGTGAAGGTAGTACTTTTGGAGTCATTGACATGTTGGCAGCAATTGAAAAGGGCTAAAATTAAATATCAATATTTAAGATCGGAAATAGATAAAAAGGCTCAGGTGAAAGCCTGGAGGCTTTACAAAGGCCCCTCTTCCTTTGCAAATGGAGTATTCTCATTGTTGTCTCAACAGTGAGGAACTACTGAAATCTCTGCTTAGTTTTTGAGCCTTCTAATGGCTGCTTTGGAACTGGTTTCCTGCAATCTTGCCCCCAAATATGTAGCATTATATTGAGGATATTGGCCCTTCAGGTTCTGATTGCCCTGCTAGCTTTAAATCTAGTATTTGTGAGATGCGACAAGCTTGAGACTGTTGCTTCTTCTACAGCTTCTCTGTCTCTCACAGTGAATAAACAAATTCCTTGACGGGGAAAGTCTACAGAAAAATTCAGTTTACCACAATACATTTTATCCTTTCTGGAATATCGAACCCTATATTTTTGGCTTATTTTTATCTCTATGTTGACTTCAAGTAGTCATTTTTTAAAACTATAGTACCCAGACTCTATAGTTTGTCACAGTGAGAAAATCTGGTGACAGGATCTCTATCACAGGTAGGTGTGAATTATCTCCGTAGTATCTTGAATGTAGCTCTATTAATGCACTACTTCCATGTGTTCTAATTATTTATATACATTTTTCTCCAATCGGACTTAAGAACAAGGAATTATTATATATTCGTTTCCATTTTTCTTTCCAAAACTTAGTATCTGGCATCAATAAATGATGTTTGAATAGATAACGAGTGTTTACAAACTATGTGAAATTTTCTGAGAGCTATAAGGGAAGGAAATCAACTGTCCCTGAAGTGAAAAAGAAGCTGTCTTTATATCCGCTTTTATGGAATGTGTCTGACTCCCTTGAAACTGACTTTTCCATCATTCTGAACTTCTTGACGGCTCCTACCATTCTAATTAAATTTGTATTGTTACCAGTTGGTAACACTACCACATTGTGGTAACGTTGTTTTGTTACCACATTCCATCAGTATCAAATAATTCTATTTTGCTTTTCTTTATCTCTGTACCACATTCCTTTTCATTCCTCAAAATTTGGTTAAACAGCATCTCCTCAGTAAAGCATTTCTAAATTTCCTCCCTTTTTATGCTACTTTCATAGTTTGCATTTTTACTGATGCACTTATTGTTTATTTATGTATCTGCCTCTTCTGTGGAGATAACTGAATGTGGAGTCTATATCTAAACATTTTCCAAATTCCTTAAATGGGTAATCTCCATGGAGGGCTTCCAGACTGTGTATAAGAGCTTTGCTTGCATCTTCTTCTTTAAACTTCAAACACACGCAACTATGACGTAGGTACTGTTAGTTTCACTTTATTAAAAACACTGAGGTTCAGAGAAATTAGAAAGTAATCAAAATCCACAAATACAGTGCTATGGTGTGCACGTTTATGTGGCCCCAATACCCAATGCAATAGTATTTAGAGGTGAGGTCTTTGGGAGGAAATTAATTCATGAGATTAGAGACCTCATAAGCAGGATTAGTGTCTTTTTGTTGTTGTTAAGAGACAGCATCTCACTATGTTGCCCAGGCTTGTCTCAAGCTCCTGGCCTGAATTGATCCTTCTACTTTGACCTTCCAAAGTGTTGGCATTACAGGCACAAACCACAGTGTCTGGCCAGGTTAGTGCTTTTCCGTCAAGAGGCCAGAGAAAGCTTGTTTGCCCCTTCTACCATGTGAGGACACACTGAGAAGGCATCATCTGTGAATTGGAAGAGCAAGCCCTCACCAGACACCAAATACACTGATACCTTGATCTTGGATTTCTAAGCCCCTAGAACTGTGGGAAATAAATTTCTGTTGTTTATAAGCTACCCACTCTATGGTATTTTGTTGTATTATAGCATCTCAAAGAAACTAACAGATAGTAACACACCACATAGTCTGTATGCTCCCAAAACTTGTGTTTCTAATTTCTATTCTTGTTGTCCATTACGATGTCTAGCATGAAGCAGGCACCCTATAACGCTTGTAAAACATAAAATTACTATCAAATATACTATATTTTTCTGTTATACTACTTTACATTATGTTGCATTACATTGCAATGAGATATAATGTCATGATTATTTTATATTCAAGGTTAACCATTTGTAGGTTAATCACCAAGCAATAAATTAGATTCATCCTCAGTTTTCTTAAACAAAATAATGAAAAGAGAGCAATGAATTATTCATTCAAAAAAAGTCATCCATGTGAAAACTAAAATATTTTAACATGCAAAGCTACATAGACCTGTGGTTTCTTAAAATTATAGAACTTCCAAATATAGGGTATGTGACAGTAAAACTCTTTATTTCAACAATTTGGTAATCTGTGTAAATAAAATTTATAGGCAGACTTCATTTGTACACTGGTAAATGTTTCATTATTGAAATAATTAAAGAGATGACTTCATATGACAATATAGAAATGTAAACAAGAGCCTAGGGCCCCATGTTTTACCAGTGTATTTTGCATGTTGTTGGAGTTTGTATTACATCATATTAGTCATTTGCACTGTGGCCACTGAAGGAACTGTTCATGTTGAAGAATATAAGAATAACTTCTTGAGAAATAATTAAAGCTAGGTAGAGGAAAGACTTCCTTTTCCCGCAGACTGGAATAAGAGTTGTATTATTGCGAGCTTAACAGGAAGAATCAATTCACAGAGTAATAAATTATTATCTTCATGAAAAATCTGCTACATATAATCATGTATTTTGTTTTAAAATGCAACTTAAGTACATAATACAAAGGATAGTGAAGAGCTATGAGATTCCCAGAATCACTTTTTATGCCATTACAATTGTGAATCGCATAAAAAAGGTAATGGTAATACATGGTATTTCAGGACTAGAATTAAAGGACACACAGATATGCATCACAGGATTTGTCTGAGACATGCATTGCTAGGCAATTTAGTCATTGTGGGACTATCATAGAGTGTACTTATATAGCTCTAGATAGTAGAGACTGCTACACACCTAGGCTATTGCTCCCATCCCTGTACAGAATGTTACTGTACTGAATATCTGTAGGCAATTGTAACACAATGGCAAGTATTTGTACATCTAAACATAGAAGTGGTAATGTGTTTCACTATGACCTTATCATACATTGTCAATGTTCACTGCGCAACAGGAATTTTTCACCTCCAATATAATCTTATGGGACCCAAAGTCATATATGAGGTCTGTCATCGACCAAAACATTGTTATACTGTGCATGACTGCACAGTCAATGGAATCACACACACGCACACACACACACATCCTGCAAAACACAACCTTTTGCAACCTATAAGCAGATATTGTGCTTTTTGAAAGCTTATGTGCTCATTTTAGTTCTCTTTTGAACTATTACCTGACACCTGGCACTTAAGCTGTCTCATTCCGTACCTATTTTGTGGGTTTTCAAGTAATTAAGTTTGATAATTCAGAGAACTAACTTACTCAAGTAAATTCTAAAATGCTTTCTAAAATAAATTAGAAATAGTCTGCTTAGTGACCTCATTTTATTTATTTTTATCAATAAATTCATAATCTGACATTAAAAAAACTACAGGTCAACACTGCGATAGCGTTCATACTCTCACATGAGTTGACCCCGGGTTTACTTTCAAAGATGGCTTATTGGGCTGGATGGAACCACTATAACAGTTTGAATGGAAAGATCAAGGAAATACCACGTCTGTAGATTTTCAAAGTGTTTTCACTTCTTTCATTAGTTAGAGTTTATATACATACAACAGGCCACTCTGGTAAGCCAGCCATTATTGTGCATTTCATTAAGGCAGAAGTTGAGGAGAAGGTGGGCATGTATTCTGCAACAATAGAATTATTAATTTAATGTCCATAATTTACTCGTTATCAATTTTTTGTAAAAGATAGCTCACTGATACTGTGTTAGGATATTATCTGTGATAGAGCCTACAAGAAAACAATGAAATATATTTCAATTCTAAAAGAAAAATAGATTTTTCAATTTTTTAATATTTAAATAGTATAAGATGTATTTTCTAAAGCATCAAAGAGATAGACAGAGGTGTCAACATCTTTCTCTCCATGAGTTACTTTGATTTTAATTCCTTAAAATCAGTATTTGCTATAGAACTCTCACTGAATAAGAATCATGAAATAACCAATCAGCTAGTCCTGAAACCACTCCTAGAAAATGTCAGTTTATAATACAAAAGCATTACAATGTTTGCTAAGGAATTATACATACACTTGTCACTTTCCTTCTAGTTCATCCTCCTAGGGGAAGAGAATTCTGGTTTCCTTTAGAAACTTAATTGTATGACATCACTGGCTCCCTTTCCTAAATACCATTACTAAACCAAGGCTAGGAACACATATAAGAGCACCAAAATAAAGAAATAAATCTGGCACAAAAAATATAAAAATCAAAATATCTTTCTTCCTTTGAGCACTACTTTTTCAACTGATGATGGCTGGAGTGATAAAGTTTGAGTGTCTGTGAATACCTCTTAGTAGACCGTTTGTTTGAAAGGTGAAGTAAGACTGGGGTATGATACAAGTTATAATAAAAGCACTTCCTAGTCTCGATGGTCTTTACATTTTGGCATGATTTTGCAGCAGCTGGTACCGGTTGTTCCTTTCCATGTTTAGCGCTTCCTTCAGTAGCTCTTTTAGGGCAGGCCTGGTGGTGACAAAATCTCTCAGCATTTGCTTGTCTGTAAAGTATTTAATGTCTCCTTCACTTATGAAGCTTAGTTTGGCTGGATATGAAATTCTGGGTTGAAAATTCTTTTCTTTAAGAATGTTGAATATTGGCCCCCACTCTCTTCTGGCTTGTAGGGTTTCTGCCGAGAGATCCTCTGTTAGTCTGATGGGCTTCCCTTTGAGGGTAACCCGACCTTTCTCTCTGGCTGCCCTTAACATTTTTTCCTTCATTTCAACTTTGGTGAATCTGACAATTATGTGTCTTGGAGTTGCTCTTCTCGAGGAGTATCTTTGTGGCATTCTCTGTATTTCCTGAATCTGAACGTTGGCCTGCCTTGCTAGATTGGGGAAGTTCTCCTGGATAATATCCTGCAGAGTGTTTTCCAACTTGGTTCCATTCTCCCCATCACTTTCAGGTACACCAATCAGACGTAGATTTGGTCTTTTCACATAGTCCCATATTTCTTGGAGGCTTTGTTCATTTCTTTTTATTCTTTTTTCTCTAAACTTCCCTTCTCGCTTCATTTCATTCATTTCATCTTCCATTGCTGATACCCTTTCTTCCAGTTGATCGCATCGGCTCCTGAGGCTTCTGCATTCTTCACGTAGTTCTCTAGCCTTGGTTTTCAGCTCCATCAGCTCCTTTAAGCACTTCTCTGTATAGGTTATTCTAGTTATACATTCTTCTAAATTTTTTTCAAAGTTTTCAACTTCTTTGCCTTTGGTTTGAATGTCCTCCCGTAGCTCAGAGTAATTTGATCGTCTGAAGCCTTCTTCTCTCAGCTCGTCAAAGTGATTCTCCATCCAGCTTTGTTCCGTTGCTGGTGAGGAACTGCGTTCCTTTGGAGGAGGAGAGGCGCTCTGCGTTTTAGAGTTTCCAGTTTTTCTGTTCTGTTTTTTCCCCATCTTTGTGGTTTTATCTACTTTTGGTCTTTGATGATGGTGATGTACAGATGGGTTTTTGGTGTGGATGTCCTTTCTGTTTGTTAGTTTTCCTTCTAACAGACAGGACCCTCAGCTGCAGGTCTGTTGGAATACCCTGCCTTGTGAGGTGTCAGTGTGCCTCTGCTGCGGGGTGCCTCCCAGTTAGGCTGCTTGGGGGTCAGGGGTCAGGGACCCACTTGAGGAGGCAGTCTGCCGGTTCTCAGATCTCCAGCTGCGTGCTGGGAGAACCACTGCTCTCTTCAAAGCTGTCAGACAGGGACATTTAAGTCTGCAGAGGTTACTGCTGTCTTTTTGTTTGTCTGTGCCCTGCCCCCAGAGGTGGAGCCTACAGTGGCAGGCAGGCCTCCTTGAACTGTGGTGGGCTCCACCCAGTTCGAGCTTCCCGGCTGCTTTGTTTACCTAAGCAAGCCTGGGCAATGGCGGGCGCCCCTCCCCCAGCCTCGCTGCCGCCTTGCAGTTTGATCTCAGACTGCTGTGCTAGCAATCAGCGAGATTCCGTGGGCGTAGGACCCTCCGAGCCAGGTGTAGGATATAGTCTCGTGGTGCGCTGTTTTTTAAGCCGGTCTGAAAAGCGCAATATTCGGGTGGGAGTGACCCGATTTTCCAGGTGCGTCCGTCACCCCTTTCTTTGACTCGGAAAGGGAACTCCCTGACCCCTTGCGCTTCCCAGGTGAGGCAATGCCTCGCCCTGCTTCGGCTCGCGCACGGTGCGCGCACCCACTGGCCTGCGCCCACTGTCTGGCACTCCCTAGTGAGATGAACCCGGTACCTCAGATGGAAATGCAGAAATCACCCATCTTCTGCGTCGCTCACACTGGGAGCTGGAGACCGGAGCTGTTCCTATTTGGCCATCTTGGCTCCTCCCCCGCAGTGTTAATTTTCAAATGCAGGTAATTTTTATTCCCATCTTTACAATGTTTTTCTTCTTCAAATTGCCAATTGAAAGATTTTTTTTTTTACTTTTTTTTTTTTTTTTGAGATGGAGTCTCGCTCTTTGGCCCAGGCTGGAGTGCAGTGGCGCCATCTCGGCAAATGCGGAGAGATTTTGTCACCACCAGGCCTGCCCTAAAAGAGCTCCTGAAGGAAGCGCTAAACATGGAAAGGAACAACCGATACCAGCTGCTGCAAAATCATGCCAGACTGTAAAGACCATCAACACTAGGAAGAAACTGCATCAACTAACGAGCAACATAACCAGCTAACATCATAATGACAGGATCAAATTCACATATTATTAACTTTAAATGTAAATGGACTAAATTCTCCAATTAAAAGACACAGACTGGCAAATTGGATAAAGAGTCAAGACCCATCAGTGTGCTGTATTCAGGAAACCCATCTCACGTGCAGAGACACACATAGGCTCAAAATAAAAGGATGGAGGAAGATCTACCAAGCAAATGGAAAACAAAAAAAGGCAGGGGTTGCATTGTTATACTGTGCATGACTGCACAGTCAATGGAATCACACACACGCACACACACACACACACACCGTGCAAAACACAACCTTTTTCAACAAGAAGATCTATCCTAAATATATATGCATCCAATACAGGAGCACCCAGATTCATAAAAC
Source organism: Homo sapiens (assembly GCF_000001405.40). Taxonomy (NCBI): domain Eukaryota; kingdom Metazoa; phylum Chordata; class Mammalia; order Primates; family Hominidae; genus Homo; species Homo sapiens. The sequence continues at coordinate 82,336,788 of NC_000003.12, read as the reverse complement.
AAGTCCTGTGTGACCTACAAAGAGACTTAGACTCCCACACATTAATAATGGGAGACTTTAACACCCCACTGTCAACATTAGACAGATCAATGAGACAGAAAGTCAACAAGGATACCCAGGAATTGAACTCAGCTCTGCACCAAGCGGACCTAATAGACATCTACAGAACTCTCCACCCCAAATCAACAGAATATACATTTTTTTCAGCACCACACCACACCTATTCCAAAATTGACCACATACTTGGAAGTAAAGCTCTCCACAGCAAATGTAAAAGAACAGAAATTATAACAAACTATCTCTCAGACCACAGTGCAATCAAACTAGAACTCAGGATTAAGAATCTCACTCAAAGCCGCTCAACTACATGGAAACTGAACAACCTGCTCCTGAATGACTACTGGGTACATAACGAAATGAAGGCAGAAATAAAGATGTTCTTTGAAACCAACGAGAACAAAGACACGACATACCAGAATCTCTGGGACACATTCAAAGCAGTGTGTAGAGGGAAATTTATAGCACTAAATGCCCACAAGAGAAAGCAGGAAAGATCCAAAATTGACACCCTAACATCACAATTAAAAGAACTAGAAAAGCAAGAGCAAACACATTCAAAAGCTAGCAGAAGGCAAGAAATAACTAAAATCAGAGCAGAACTGAAGGAAATAGAGACACAAAAAAACCATTCAAAAAATCAATGAATCCAGGAGCTGGTTTTTTGAAAGGATCAACAAAATTGATAGACCGCTAGTAAGACTAATAAAGAAAAAAAGAGAGAAGAATCAAATAGACACAATAAAAAATGATAAAGGGGATATCACCACCAATCCCACAGAAATACAAACTTCCATCAGAGAATACTACAAACACCTCTACGCAAATAAACTGGAAAATCTAGAAGAAATGGATAAATTCCTGGACACATACACTCTCCCAAGACTAAACCAGGAAGAAGTTGCATCTCTGAATAGACCAATAACAGGAGCTGAAATTGTGGCAATCATCAATAGTTTACCAACCAAAAAGAGTCCAGGACCAGATGGATTCACAGCTGAATTCTACCAGAGGTACAAGGAGAAACTGGTACCATTCCTTCTGAAACTATTCCAATCAACAGAAAAAGAGGGAATCCTCCCTAACTCATTTTATGAGGCCAGCATCATTCTGATACCAAAGCCGGGCAGAGACACAACCAAAAAAGAGAATTTTAGACCAATATCCTTGATGAACATTGATGCAAAAATCCTCAATAAAATACTGGCAAACCGAATCCAGCAGCACATCAAAAAGCTTATCCACCATGATCAAGTGGGCTTCATCCCTGGGATGCAAGGCTGGTTCAATATACGCAAATCAATAAATTTAATCCAGCATATAAACAGAGCCAAAGACAAAAACCACATGATTATCTTAATAGATGCAGAAAAAGCCTTTGGCAAAATTCAACAACCCTTCATGCTAAAAACTCTCAATAAATTAGGTATTGATGGGACGTATTTCAAAATGATAAGAGCTATCTATGACAAACCCACAGCCAATATCATACTGAATGGGCAAAAACTGGAAGCATTCCCTTTGAAAACGGGCACAAGACAGGGATGCCCTCTCTCACCACTCCTATTCAACATAGTGTTGGAAGTTCTGGCCAGGGCAATTAGGCAGGAGAAGGAAATAAAGGGTATTCAATTAGGAAAAGAGGAAGTCAAATTGTCCCTGTTTGCAGACGACATGATTGTATATCTAGAAAACCCCATTGTCTCAGCCCAAAATCTCCTTAAGCTGATAAGCAACTTCAGCAAAGTCTCAGGATACAAAATCAATGTGCAAAAATCACAAGCATTCTTATACACCAACAACACACAAACAGAGAGCCAAATCATGAGTGAACTCCCATTCACAATTGCTTCAAAGAGAAGAAAATACCTAGGAATCCAACTTACAAGGGATGTGAAGGACCTCTTCACGGAGAACTACAAACCACTGCTCAAAGAAATAAAAGAGGACACAAACAAATGGAAGAACATTCCATGCTCATGGGTAGGAAGAATCAATATTGTGAAAATGGCCATACTGCCCAAGGTAATTTACAGATTCAATGCCATCCCCATCAAGCCACCAATGACTTTCTTCACAGAATTGGAAAAAACTACTTTAAAGTTCATATGGAACCAAAAAAGAGCCCGCATCGCCAAGTCAATCCTAAGCCAAAAGAACAAAGCTGGAGGCATCACGCTACCTGACTTCAAACTATACTACAAGGCTACAGTAACCAAAACAGCATGGTACTGGTACCAAAACAGAGATATAGATCAATGGAACAGAACAGAGCCCTCAGAAATAACGCCGCATACCTACAACTATCTGATCTTTGACAAACCTGAGAAAAACAAGCAATGGGGAAAGGATTCCCTATTTAATAAATGGTGCTGGGCAAACTGGCTAGCCATATGTAGAAAGCTGAAACTGGATCCCTTCCTTACACCTTATACAAAAATCAATTCAAGATGGATTAAAGATTTAAACGTTAGACCTAAAACCATAAAAACCCTAGAAGAAAACCTAGGCATTACCATTCAGGACATAGGCATGGGCAAGGACTGCATGTCCAAAACACCAAAAGCAATGGCAACAAAAGCCAAAATTGACAAATGGGATCTAATTAAACTAAAGAGCTTCTGCACAGCAAAAGAAACTACCATCAGAGTGAACAGGCAACAGAATGGGAGAAAATTTTTGCAAACTACTCATCTGATAAAGGGCTAACATCCAGAATCTACAAAGAACTCAAACAAATTTACAAGAAAAAAACAACCCCATCAACAAGTGGGCAAAGGATATGAACAGACACTTCTCAAAAGAAGACATCTATGCAACCAACAGACACATGAAAAATGCTCATCATCACTGGCCATCAGAGAATGCAAGTCAAAACCACAATGAAATACCATCTCACACCAGTTAGAATGGCGATCATTAAAAAGTCAGGAAACAACAGGTGTGGGAGAGGATGTGGAGAAATAGGAACACTTTTACACTGTTGGTGGGACTGTAAACTAGTTCAACCACTGTGGAAGTCAGTGTGGCGATTCCTCAGGGATCTAGAACTAGAAATACCATTTGACCCACCCATCCCATTACTGGGTATATACCCAAATGACTATAAATCATGCTGCTATAAAGACACGTGCACACGTATGTTTATTGCGGCATTATTCACAATAGCAAAGACTTGGAACCAACCCAAATGTCCAACAATGATAGACTGGATTAAGAAAATGTGGCACATATACACCATGGAATACTATGCAGCCATAAAAAATGATGAGTTCATGTCCTTTGTAGGGACATGGATGAAATTGGAAATCATCATTCTCAGTAAACTATCGCAAGAACAAAAAACCAAACATGGCATATTCTCACTCATAGGTGGGAATTGAACAATGAGATCACATGGACACAGGAAGGGGAATATCACACTCTGGGGACTGTTGTGGGGTGGGGGGAGGGGGGAGGGATAGCACTGGGAGATATAACTAATGCTAGATGACGAGTTAGTGGGTGCAGCACACCAGCACGGCACATGTATACATATGTAACTAACCTGCACAATGTGCACATGTACCCTAAAACTTAAAGTATAATAATAAAAAAATAATAATAATAATAATAAAAGCACTTTAGGTGCAGACTTCCAGGGACAGAGGTGAAGTAACATCTTCGAAGGCACTTATTGTATCGATCACATAAGATTGCAACATAAAAGAAATTAGGATTCAGTGTGAACATTTAAAAATGTTTGAAAGATATATTTAACTGAGTTGTTTATTTTTCCTTAGCTCTCAGTAATCTAATTGTAAGAGTTACAGGAAGGAGATCAATTGAAACAGTAAAATCCTACAGCCTGGAAAACCCCAGAAATAACATCATACCATTAGTTTCCTAAAACTAATTAACAGCAATTTATTAATATAGAACTACATAGTAGTTAAATTTTCCATACAAATATCATGTGTTTTAGGTGTGAAAACTTTACAAAGGATATGTATTATAAATATCTCTGAAATACTGAATAAGTTCCCCAAAAATAGGTATGTTGTCTTTATGCTTCTAATGGCTCTGATAATAAACAAAATCAAATATGTGTAAACTAACAATATCAGACCATTTGGTGAGGTTATATAAGGGGAGAACATATGATAAGACACAAAAGTAGAAATTCCCTATTATTGCTGCATATTTTTACAACTGCTTCAAAATAATTCTCTGATTTTTTTGTGTATAAAACATGTTTCCTTTGTTCTTCTTTGTACTTTACTTGGAATTTCATGGTACAAATAATTAACGCAATCACAAAGAGTAATTTAATAAAAGTCATAACTGTCCATTTGTATTCCCAATTTTTAAAAAGACATTTAACTACTAAGCGACTAAGGGCAGGTAGTAACTACAGTGTGAATATGCTAGACAAAGGGGTAATTCACATCCAAGGCAAAATGGAACAGGATGACGTGAAATTTCATCATGCTCCTCAAGATCACACACAATTTTATAAATTGTTTATTTTTAGATTTTTTAATTTAAGACTTTCAGACCATAGTTGACTGCATAAAGCAAAACCACAGATTGGGAAAACTACTTTATATATATTAAGTCATTGAAACCTCAACAATTTTATGAGAAAGATAATATTATATTTTCATTTTATATTTTGTCTAAGTACATACAGCCAGTGAATACCACTAAATCTGTACTCTTAACCATTATTCTGAAAAGTTTACATTACTACTTACTATTTACTTAGTACCTACTATGTGATCTTTTATTTTTTTTTTTACTTTCTTCTCTGATCACCCCAGTTTTCTATAAATTTAGTCATTAAAGGTTACAGAATTAAAATTCAAGTGATTTGCTGAACATTCCAGTGACTTTCTCAGTTCCTGGAAATTGATAGACTTTTATTTAAATTCAACAATTGAATGAATAAGTGAATGTATACATTTTTTAAAACTTAGTTTGTACTAACTCCATTTGATGTTTTTTGCCTAGCTTAGATAAGAAATAATGACAACTTACACTTCCAGACCTTTTCAATCTTGAGAGAAAAAAAAAAAAGGTATAATAATTGACATGGAAAGCCTTTCTTATGTAAATTAACTAAATCTAAATTCTGCATCTTTTTATTTCTATTTTGAAAGTCCATATGAAACATTGCAGAGGAGGAATGACTATGGAGAGCCATGAGAACATTTCAGCATTCCATGAAATAAAGGCATTGGGACTATTTCAGGTATCTGAATTTCTACATAGACTGTATTATATACAGTGAAGTGCAAGGGTAAGGATATCCAGCTGAGTTCAAGGTTAAGGGCGTATTTGACAGGCAGACAGACAATACCCTTACCTGGAATGCAAGTAGCATGAATCACACTTTAAATGTCAGTAGATTTCACCTACGCTAAACTATTAAAGATGGATGGTGTTGAAGAAGCATATAATTGTGAGGACTACTAATTTTATGTTAAAATGAGTTACATGAACTTTGGGGACAATACCTAAAATAATTGTCCTAGCAGGGTTAATATCATTATAAAATATAAAAGGAAAATAGTACAAAGACCACTATGCTGTTTAATAATTAAATACCTGGAGAGAGAAGAAATAAAGTTATTTATAACATGTTCATTAGACATTAAAATTACAGACTGGAAAAATTGTTAACTTTAAAAATAAAGTAGCAAAACACAATAGATAGGAATCGGAACATCATGCTGTTTTAATTTCCCAAGCTCTCTTTCTTAAGGAAAATGTGGCATCACTTAAGTAAGATTCATTTCCACATAAGTTCAGTAACAGCCCATTAAGAGGTCAGTATACATACATTATTACTGGTTATGTTAAGGTCTTGCAGCCACCCTATCTCCTCAGAGTTAGGCTTATCATTCTACAGATGTCTTTCAAATTTAGTTCCATCCTATCTTTTCTCAAAGCCAAGAACATGAACCCAGATCTCTACATTGCACTTTATAGATTGCAAGAAAGATGAGAAACATTTTGCCAAGTACACAAACTAATTATCAGTTTTATTAACAGAGTAGGATCCTAGAGCAGACAAATTTACAGAAATATTTAATTAAGACTATTAATACCTGAATCCAAGCCAAAAAATGACATAAATATTTTAATGCAGTGTACTGATACACTGCATATATGAATAGTCTTCAATGGATGTCATTTAGGCCATTTAAATGTATTTGTGTACTTTTGGGAAACAATTTAATTTCTCTGCATATATAGTCATGTGCCACAAAATGATATTTTGGTCAACAATAGACAGCACATACAATGGGGGTACCATAAGATTATAATACTGTATTTTTACTATATATTTTCTATATTTAGATATGTTTAGGTACACAAGTACTTACAATTGTGTTGTAATAGCCTATGGTATTCAGTACAGTAACATGCTGTACAGGTTGGTAGACTAGAAGCAATAGGTTATATCACATAGCCTAAGTGCGTAATAGGCTATACTATCTAGGTTTGTGTAAGTACACCCCATAATGTTGACACTACAACAAAATTTTCTAAAGACAAATTTCTTAGACCATGTTCTCTTTACTAAGGGAAGCATGAATGTAATAATATACGGTATAAATAACTTTTATTATTATTATTTTGCTGCTATAAGTATCATGTGCATTTGCTTTTCAGTTTCAAATTCTATAATTATAGGGTATGGCTAATTATTAGCATGCTTAGATACTTCCTATGGGGGTTGAGGATAGCGTATAAATGAGAATTAGAAATGTCAAAACCACATTAATATTAATTTGACAAGGATAACAGTCTAATTGATGAATGACATTTTAGACAGGACAGATTCACCTACAAGAAATTTATAAACACTGATAGTTTACTTTTAGTTTAAAAACTAATGTAAATCAATTATATTTACTTTATTATATTGCTTTATAATTTAGACCTCAAGCTTTAAATTTTGTTTTTGTTTTTTCAGAAGCCTAGAGAACACAAAGCACACACACAAAAATCTTTGGAAAATGTGTTTAGAGGTCTTTATATGTATTTTTTACAAAAGCAAACAATATGTACATGCTATTGCTGTGATTTTTAAATTATTCTTTAATCATATTTGCAAGACATATGGAAAAAAATTCTATGTCTTGGATTCAGAAAAGAAAATCCATCATATTTCTCTGATAAATAATAAACATCCTCATAAATCCTGTAGTACCTGCATTAGCCACTTGGGTAAGCTATTCTTTCCAATATATTATGTTCAAAATATCCTGTTAGCTATTCTATAATTAAGTGTCTGATTTTTCTTTTTAAGTGCAACATATTTTTATATAGTTAGTCTTATTTATATAAAGCGATTGTTGATGCTGAACACATATTTCAATATGAACATTCTAATTTTTATATTAAAGATTACTTAAGATTTTTCTAAATACGTGAGTATTACAGTATATTAAAATATGTTATTTTCACCACAGCTTGGAATTGGCATATCAAAATAAAATAAATATAACTGTTTCTTATTATTTTATACTAAAATAAACATTAAAAATTTTGTCAGGTCAATTTAGCTCTTTTATTTTATTTAATGTAGTTTTAATTCACACATAAATATTAGTGTGTAGGCTGGAAAAAAGCTTGAAGTATTTTTCCTTTTCATGCACAAGTCTTTATTTGTAAGTCAAATTCAAATCTAAATGTGGTTCATGCAAAATTTTAGCAGTTCTATTCTATTGCTTTATTCCATGATTTATTTTTTGCATTAGTTATTGTTTTAACTACTCTATAATTAAATTGCTTAATTGACTATATGACATTAAAATGAGAACTTTTCTATGAAAATGAGAGATTATGTGGCCAGTTAGTACTTTTCATACTTTTTTCTATAGCTAATTCCTTTCATAGGATGACAGAGTCAAACAATTTTCATTGTTTGCTTTTCAGTTAAAATTTGATTAGTATAAAGATATTTTAAATTGTAAGTATATTTAGAAGAAATAATTTTACTATCAAAATTCTAAATAAATCAAGAGAGTCTTCTATTTACTTATGAAATAGTTTACTGATAGTTTTCCTCTTAAATATTTTTTCATAGTATCCTTTTCTGTTTTCTTTTCATGGAATATACTACAAGGATAAGCTTCAATTCCTCAGCAATATCGCTCTCCCTGTGGTTCACTGTTTGAGTCAGATGTCTTAACTACTCTTTAAAAAAAATGTAAGGACATCCTTTTGTCTACTGTCTCCTAAATATTTTGATGGAGAACAGCTTGTTTACTGAATTTAGCAATGGCTATAAGTTGACGAGCTTCCTAAGTCCCCTGTTGAAATAGATTTTCCAGAAATATCTTTTGCTCCTTGCAGAATAACAGCATATGTCTTTGCTTCTAAATTACTCCTTATTCTTTCACACACTATACATTGAGTGACTGTGCACATAAATAGCTGCTTTTTTAACAAAAATTCTGGACACTAAATATAGGTTCAAAGAAGCATTGCCTTATACAATAATAACACAGCAACCAAAGTTCTAAACTAAAGCAATGACAACAGGGAAATGATGTATTCCAGACAAGTATATCAGAACAAATAAGTATGACAGTAAGAATTTGCCACCCAACTTACTCAATTCACGCTGAATGTGAGACAATTTTTATTCTCTGGGTTTCAAATACTCCCACTCCTGGGTTATACCATGTGGAGAATGTAAAGCTAGAAGTGTATGTCTCTCCAACTCTTGCCTAATTTAGGATGGAAATATCTAACTGACACATATATGTCAAAGCAATGACTGTATTTTTAATCCCTAGATACAAATTACTTTTCTAATGGGGAAAAAGGTATATAATGTCATGAAAGAAAAATCCAGAAACCTCAATTCACTTAACACTGCCTATTACTGCAAAAAGGACATATAAAGGGAAAAGTGGCTACTGGAGGGAAAATCCTTTATTCATTTTAGGGCTGTAGTTTGTACGTTTTATTTTGTAAGCCATGCTTAACAAACAAAACATTCTTTTAGAAAATGGGTTTAAACACATGGGCAGCCAAAAGAAGGAGGCATGGAGGAATAAATATATAAGAGTAATGAAACCATTCCAAAATGAAGTTAACAAATGGAAGGTGGCCATAGATGTTTAGAAGTGAGGAAAACAGCCTTGTTTGCAATATGTCTCAGTAATAAAAAAAAAAAACAGGCATTGTTTTAATTCTCCTTTTCAGACTCTCTAGGGACTCAAGATACATCTGCTATATCAGTTTGGAATGATGTAGGGTGACATAGTCACTGATGATCAGCCAGTTTCAAGTAGCTAAGACCCTTAAATTTTATCTTTGTTTGAATGTTATTTTTTCTTCTTTATAAAAAATTTAAATGTCAATATCAGTAACAGAGAATTTGTTGCCAAAATATGATGTTATTGAAAATTGTTACCAGATAAGGCATTGTTAACCAATGTATCATTAAATATTGAGTAGATATTTTAAATCTATTTGAAAATGTGAAAAATTAATCAGAGTCCAGAGACAGAGAATTAACCCAATGAGGATTCATGGAGCCCATGCAATAATTAGGGAGGAGAGGAAAGAGATAGGCTTAAAATAGAGTCCATTGATCTTTCTTCCATTTTTAATGAATACTATCCCTCAACTTTATATCACTCTCTGACTTTAACCTATTCATTCCCAACAATAGTCTGTCTTCCTTGTTCTTCTTCATCCTTCACCTCCCACTCTTGATTCCCTGCATATTTGCATAATCTTTAACACCTTTGTGCAAATATTTTGCTAAGATTAAATCTAAAGCAATATCAAAACATGATTTTAGTCATCCTCTTTCTTGAAATGTCCAACATGTCTACACTGAAACATTGTTAATCTGGAAACATTTTCTTTGCTTTGCATCACTTTTGGGGGGGTTGTTTTTCATGCGTTTCTTACCACTCTTATCTCTGTTTCTCAGTCTCTCTCTTGATTTTTCTTCTGCAGCCTGTCCCACAAAAGTTGGTGTTCCCTGAGGTTGTACTATTGGCCTTCCCCTCTTGTCACTTTATATACTCTCCTTCATCAACCTTATCCATAGTCACAATTACAAATTCTCTGGTGAGTTCCTACAGAATACCCACCAACTCATGTTATTTAACTCAAGTGTCCATCATTAAACTAGTTACCTAGCCTTTTCAAAACCTTTCCCTTCCTGAATCTTTCACTTTGGCAAAAGATTTCCTGATTAATGTGACTGCTCAATTCAGAAATATGGGTGGCAGAGATTCATTCATTTACTTTAGCATTTATATCCGTATCACTGTGCTTCTGTATCAGTCTATTTTAGTTTGGTCTCTTCTTTGTCATTATCATTTTTGCTTTTTGTGTCTTACCTTGATTATTACAATGTCTTACAGAAAAAAAAACAGGTTTCATAAGCCTTTAGTTTCAATATGCTCTTCAGTTTGTTCTCAACTTCCCCACTCCCCAGGCAGAGGTGTGTTTCTAAAATTCATAATTATGATATTTCTCTATGCTAAGTATACCTTTAAGACTCCACTTGCATATAGGACAAAGTTCAAATGCCATTGCATAAAATAGAAAGCTCTTAACTGTTGGGAAAAGCTGAGTGTTGGGAGAAGCTTCTTCTCTCTTAAATGACCTTTTCTATTTATGCCCTGGGGAAAAATACTCTGGCATCTCTATACAGAGTTAGGGTCATTCTCTTCTGAGACTCCACAAAAACTTGACTAAAGCCTTTCATAATATTCATTGTATTTTGTAGAATTTATAGTAATAGTTTATATTCTATTCATCCAAGTATTTTTGGTTCTTAGTAGTGTCCCAATAAATTATGTTGAATGAAAGAAAGGAAAGGAAGATAGGGAAAGAAAAAGTAAGAAAAAAGGGGTTTACCATTAAATCTAATTTTAGATTATTCTCAGCTCTTTTCAAATTCAACTAACTTATAAATATCTGACATTATTTTTAATGCATGCACACATTGTGCTGGTGAATTTTATGTGTCAATGTGATTGTGAAGGTGCCCAGGTATTTAATCAATCATTATTCTAAGTGTGCCTGTGAGGGAGTTCCTGGATGAAACAGCCAGTTGATGGGTAGACTAAGTAAAGCATATTGCCTTTTCAGGCAGACCACATACTACTAGTTGAAGCCCTAGGTAAAATGAAAGGCTGGCATTCCTTCAAGTAAAAAGTAAAGGGAAATTTTTATAAATTTATTACCAAGGCCAATGTCCAGAATGGTGTTTCCTAGATTGTCTTTTAGAAGTCAAATAGTTTGAGGTCTTACACTGAAATTTTAATCTATCTTGAATTAATTTTTGTATGTTAAAAATAGAGGTCCATTTTCATTTTTCTGCATATGGCTAGCCAGCTATCCCAGCACCATTTATTACATAGAGAGTCCAGTCCTTTCCCATTGCTTATTTTTATTTACTTCATCAAATATCAGATAACTGTAGTTGTGCAGCTTTATTTCTAGGTTCGGTATTTCATTCCATTGGTCTGTGTGTCTGTTTTTGTACCAATACAATGCTGTTTTGGTTACTGCAGTCTTATAGTATAGTTTGAAGTTGGGAAATGTGATGTCTCCAGCTTTGTTCTTTTTGCTTCAGATGGCTTTGACTATTTGGACTCCTTTTGGTTCCCTACAAATTTTAAAGTAGTTTTTATAATTCTGTGGAAAATGTCATTGGTTGTTTGATGGGAATAGCACTGAATCTGTAGATTGGTTTTGGAAGTATGGCCATTTTAACAATATTAATTCATTTAATACATGAACCTGAAATATTTTCCCATTTGTTTGTGCCATCTGTTATTTCTTTCAGCAGCGTGTTTGTAGTTTTCCATGTATATATCTTTCATCTTCTTAGACAGATGTACTCCTAGGAACTTTTTTGTTGTTGCAGCTATTGTAAATGAGATTTTATTCTTGATTTGGTGCTCAACTTGAACTTTATTGGTGTATAGAAATGCTACTGATTTTTGTACATTGATTTTGTATCTGAGACTTTACTGAAGTCATCTATCCGTCACAAGAGCCTCTTGGTGGAGTCTTTAGAGTTTTCTAGCTGTAGGATCATATTGTCAGCAAAGAGAAACAATTTACTCCTTCTTTTCCTATATAGATAGCTTATATTTCTTTCTCTTGCCTGATTGCTCTGGTTAGGACCTCCATTACTGTTGTATAAGAGTAGTGAGTGTGGGCATACTTATGTTTTTCCAATTCGTAGAGGGAATGCTTTCAGTTGTTGATGAAAAGAGTCAAACTCTGTAAAATATTTGAAGAGATTTATTTTGAGCCAAATATGAGTGACAGTGACCACAGCCATCACACAGCCCTCAGGAGGTCCTGAGAACATGTGCCCAAGGTGGCCCTACAGCAGCTTGGTTTTATATATTTTAGAGAAGAATGAGACTTCAATCAAACACATTTAAGAAATACATTGGTTTGGTCCAGAAAAGTGGGACAACTCAAAGTGATGGGCCCGGGGCAAGGGTGGGGGGTGGTTGGTAATTGGTGCGTGCTCAAGGCTTTAGGGAAGTTTAAACATTTTCTGGTTGACAATTGGTTGAGTTTGTCTAAAGACCTGGGATTCATAGAAAGAAAATGCTTAGGTTAAGATAAAAGATTGTGGAGACCAAGGTTCTTTTTAAGTCTTATAGTGGCTGCCCTTAGAGACAATAGATGACAAATGTTTCCTATTCAGATCTTTAAAAGGTTCTACACTCTTAATTAATCTCTTTAGGATTGGGAGGGCCTGGAAGAAAAAGATGACGCTATGTTTATAGAGATTCTTTACAGATGCAAATTTTCCCCCCACAAAGGATAGCTTTGCAGGGCCATTTCAAGATATGGCAAAGAAACGTGTTTTGGGGTAAAATATTTTGACTTTCTTCTTTGTCACATAATGTTATGCCAGAGTCAGATTGGAAAGTAAGCCACAATATATAGGGTTAAATAAAACCCATCTGATGAGAATTTATGGTTTGTAGGGCATGACTCTCCAGACCCCTTAGACAGGAATTTGGGCAAGATAAAAAAAATCAGAGCTTAGTCTTCACAGCTTTTGTCCATTCAGTATGATGTTTGTTGTAAGTTTGCCACAGATGGCTCTTATTGTTTTTAGGTATGTTCCTTCAATGTCTAGTTTCTTGAGGGCTTTTATCATGAAGAGATGTTGAATTTAATTGAAAGCTTTATTCACATCTGTTGAGATGATCATATGGATTTTGTTTTTACTTCTGTTTATGGGGTGAGTCACATTTATTGATTTGTATGTGTTGATTCAACCTGCATCCCAGGAATGAATACCACTTGATTATGGTAAATTAAATATTTGATGTCCTGATGAATTTGGTTTGCTAGTATTTTGTTGAGGATTTTTGTGTCTATGTTTATAAGGAATATTGGCCTGTATTTTTCTTTTTCATTTTGTCTTTGCTAGGTTGTGGTATGAGGGTGACGTTGACTTTGTAGAATGAGTTAGGGAGGAGTCTCTCCTGCTCAATATTTTGGAATAGCTTCAGTGAAATTGGTACTAGTTCTTCTTTGTATATCTGGTAGAACTGGATTGTCAATCTATCTGGTCCAGAGTTTTTTAGTTGATAGTTTTTTGAAATTCACTGATTCAATTTCAGAACTTGATATTAGTCTGTTCAGGGTTTCAATTTCTTCTTAATTCAATCTCGGGAGATTGTATGTTTCCAAGGATTTATCCATTTCCTCTAGATTTTCTAGTTTGTGTTCATAGAGGTGTTTATTATAATCTCTGGGGATCGTTTTTATTTCTGTTGGATCAGTTGTAATGTCACCTTTGTCATTTCTGATTGTGCTTATTTAGATCTCTCTCTTTTTCTTTGTCAATCTAGCTAGCAGTCTTTCAATTTTTTTTATCTTTTCAAAGAACAAACTTTTGAGTTAGTGATTTTTCGCATGAATTTTGGGGTCTCAATTCCATTCAGTTCTGCTCCAGTTTTAGTTATTTCTTTCCTTCTGCTAACTTTGGGGTTAATTTGTTCTTGTTTTTCTAGTTCCTCTAGGTATGATGTCAGATTATTAATTAGAGCTATTTTAAACTTTCTGAGGCACACATTTAGCGCTAAAATTTCCTTTTAACACCACTTTTGATTCTTCCCAGAAATTCAGGTATGTTGTGTTTCCACTTTCATTTATTTCAAGGAATTGCTGTATTTCTGCCTTAATTTTACCAAAAACAAATACTGACAAGTAGGACATAATTAAACTAAAGGGTTTCTGCTAGCAAAGAAAAACTTTCAGTAGAGTAAACATATGACCTATGAAATGGGAGAAAATATTCACAAATTATGCATTTGACAAAGGACAAATATCCAGAATCTATAAGGAACTTAAAACAGTTGAGCAAGCAAAAAACAAATAACCCCAATAAAAATGAGCAAAATACATGAACAAGCACTTCGCAAAAAAAGAAATACAAGCAGCCAACAAACATATGAAAAAATGCTCAACATCACTAATCATTAGAGAAATGCAAATAAAAACCATAATTTGATATCATGTCACACTAGTCAGAATGGCTATTATTGAAAAGTCAAAAAACAACATATTTTAGTGAGGCTGTGGAGAAAATGCTGAGACCAGCTCAGTTGTGGAGAACCTAACTCAGTGGTGCTAGAGGAATTAAAGATACACACACAGAAATACAGAGTGTGGAGTAGGAAATCAGGGGACTCACAGCCTTCGGAGCTGAAAGCCCTGGAGAGAGTTTGACCCAAATATTTATTGACAGCAAGCCAGTGATAAGCATTATTTCTATAGATTACAGATTAACTAAAAGTATTCCTTATGGGAAACAAAGGGATGGGCTGAAACAAAGGCATGCGCTCTGGCTAGTTATCTGCAGCAGGAGCATGTCCTTAAGGCACAGATCACTCATGCCATTGTTTGTGATTTAAGAATGCCTTTAAGCGGTTTTCTGCCCTGGGTGGGCCAGGTGTTCCTTGCCCTCATTCCGGTAAACCCACAACCTTCAACGTGGGCATCATGGCCATCACGAACACGTCACAGTGCTGCAGAGATTTTGTTTATGGCCAGTTTTGGGGCCAGTTTATGGCCAGATTTGGGGGCCTATTCTCAATAAGAAAAGGGAACATTTATACACTCTTGAGGGGAATGTAAATTAGTTCAGCCACTGTGGAAAACAATTTGGAGATTTCTCAAAGAACTTAAAACAGAAAATATATTTGATTTAGCAATCCCATTACAGGTTATATATCCAAAAGAAAATAAATTATTCTACCAAAGAGACACATGAACTCTTACGTTCATCACAGCTCTATTCATAAAAGCAAAGACGTGCAGTCAACCTCGGTGCCCATCAGTGGCAGATTGGATTTAAAAAGTGTGGTACATATATACCAGGGAATACTATGCAGCCACAAAAAGAATGAAATTTTGTTCTGATATAGCTTGGATATTTGTCCCTGCCCAAATCTCATGTTGAATTGTTATTCAGTGCCTAATGGAATGTATTTCCATCATGGAGGTGAATCCCTCATGGCTTGGTGCTGTCTATATGACAGTGAGTTTTCATGATAACTGGTCATTTAAAAGTATGCGGCACCTTTTCCCTCCTCTCTCTCAGTCCTGCTTTTGCCATGTGATGTGCCTGTACTCCCTTTACCTTTTGCCATTATTGGAAACTTCCTGAGGACTCCCCAGAAGCAGATGCCATATGCTTCCTCTACAGCCTGCAGAATCATGGGTCAATAAAACCTGCTTTCTTATTAATTACCCAGTCTCAGGAATTTCTTCATAGCAGGGCAAGAATAGCCTACTACATGACCTTTGCAGTAACATGGATGCAGCTGGAGGCCATTATCATAAGCAAATTGATGCAGGAACAGAAAAGCAAATATCACGTGTTCTCATTTATAATTGGGAGCTAAACACTGGGTACTCATGGTCATAAAGATGTCAACAATAGACAATGAGGACTTACTATATGGGAGAGGAATCCAGGGGGCCTAGTGTTAGAAAATTAACTATTGAATACTATGCTCAGTACCTGGGTGATGAGACGAATCATATCCCTAATTTCAGCATCATGCACTATACCTAGGTAACAAACCTGTACATGTACCTCCTGAATCTAAAATGAGTATCTGAATCTAAAATTCAGATCTAATTTGAACCTGAATCTAAAATTATTTTTAAAATTTAGAAGACATCTACATAAAGATGGCTTTTAAAGCCATGAAAGTAGACAAGGCAACCGGGGGAAGAGTTTAGAGAATGAAATAAAGAGGGCATGAGGCTAATCCTCAAGAAACAACAATATTTGGATGTTGTTTAGAAAAGAACTCTTTAAAGGAATAATCTGAGTTACTTCCGACAGTGAAATGGAGGGAGTGAGAAAGTATGATGACAGAAAGTCTAAGACAAGGAAGGTTTTTAGTTACTCTCTCCTTCAGCCACCTAAGATGACAAAAGGAAAGAAGGCCAAGGGAAAGAAGGTGGGACTGACCCCTGGTGTCACGAAGAAGCAGGAGGCCAAGAAGGTGGTAAATTCCGTGTTTGAGAAAAGTCTTAAGAATTTTGCCATTGGACAGCACATCCAAACCAAACAAGACCTCACCTACTTTGTCTTTTTTTTCAGACATAGTCTCTCTCTGTCACCCAGGCTGGAGTGCAGTGGTGCTATCTGGGCTCACTTCAACCTCTGCCTCCAAGGTTCAAGCAATTCTTGTGCCTTAGCCTCTCTAGTAGCTGGGAATACAGTTGTGCACCACCACACCTGGCTAATTTTTGTATTTTCAGTAGAGATGTGTTTTTGCCATATTGGCCAGGCTGGTCTTGAACTCTTGGCCTCAAATGATCCACCCACCTCAGCCTCCCAAAGTGCTGGGATTAGAAGTGTGCATCACCGGCATGCACCACCATGCCCAGCCAACCTACTTTGTCAAATGACTCCACTATACATCCAGTTGCAGCAGCAATGATCTATCCTCTGTAAACGTGGGAAAGTGCCTCCTGCAATTAACCTGTTCACCCAGGCCTTCGACCAGCTGTCATTCTGCTGCTTAAGCTGGCCCACAAGTACAGACCAGAAACAAAGTGCTGGAAGAAGCAGAGACTGTTGGCCTGGGCTGAGAAGAAAGTTGCTGGCAAAGAGGATGTCCCCACTAAGAGATCACTTGTCCTTTGAGCAGGGGTTAACTGTCACCACCTTGGTAGAGACCAAGAAGTTTCAGCTTGTGATGATTGCACATGACACAGATCCCATCGAGCCAGTTGTTTTCCTCTCTGCCTTGTGTTGTAAAATGGGGGTCCATTACCAAACTATCACAGGGAAGGCAAGACTGTGACATCTAATGCACAGGAAGACCTGCACCACTGTCATCTTCACATAGGTTAACTGAAAAGAAAAAGGAGCTTTGGCTAAGCTAATGGAAGCTATCAGGACCAATTACAATGACAGATATGATGAAATCTGCCATCACAGCGGAGGCAAGGTCCCGAGCTCTAAATCTGTGGCCCACACTGGTGCTGGAAAAGGCAAGGACTAAAAAAATTTGCCACTACAAACTGGGTTAAATATATACTGTTGAGTTTTCTATACATAAGAATAATAAAAATGCTCCTTTAAAGAAAAGGTTATTTTCTCTTGTCTGACTGCCTGGAGTTAAGACACAGGTTTTTTGTTTTTTATTTTTTATTTTTTGTCTTTTTTTTTTTTCTGCCTTTGGACTTCAAATAAAACATTAACTCTTCTTGGGTCTCAAGACTGCAGGCCTTCAGGAGTCTAGAACTAAACCCTGGGTTCTCCTGGGTCTATAGCTTGCTAACCTCAGATCTTAGGACTTGTCAGCCTCCATAATGTGTAAGCCAATTCCTGATAATAAATCTTTCTCTCTGGGTGTGGATATACGTGTGTGTACATGCACATACACACACACATGCGCGCACACACGCACACACACACACATCTCCTACTGGTTCTGATTCCCTGAAGAACCCTGACTAATATACATGCAAAGACTAAAATGGACAAGTATGAGAGGCACATTTTTAATATATCTTACTCAGACTAAAATGTAATCAGCTTTTCAAGACACAAGAATGAATGATTCCTAACTGTTACTTGTTTCTGACGTTGAGAACTTCAGAGGGCAAGGAAACTAAAGTGGTTACAGTTGCTGACAATGGGCATAATATGGGCAAGGACACCAAAGTAAAGAAATGATTCTCTGACTTCACCATTTTCCTGTGTTGACCTGGATTGTATCAAATATTTCAACTTCTTAACTTTCTTAAATTTCCCTCAAATGGAAATTTATTATTCTTACAATAAATAAATAAATAAATAAATAAACCTTTCTGACACCCACTGCTTCTACTACCTAGATACATAATAAATATTTAAGAAAGATGCTCTAAATGAACAGCCTGCAAAGAGTGTCAACGTGTGACACTTCATCCTTATTAAGATATCTTCCTGAAAGTACACAAAACAAAATAGACCTCAATTTTTATGATGAGGTATTGGAGCATTACATGACATGGAATTTTATGACCAGTGGCAGATGGAGAGAGAACAGAAAGTGATGCATACAAAATTTCAACCATGAAGTAGATTAGTTGAATTATCTGTAGGATTTTGTCTGACTTTAATTTCTGAAAACATATGGGAATGGAAGTGAACAGAAGTGAGGCTGCCATGGTGAGAGATTGAGTCCTGGAAAATACAAATTGGTATAAAGCATTAACAGAAACAAGGGAAGATCTAAAGTACAAATGCAAAGGGAAATCAGAGAGCAAAGATGGAATCAGAAGTAAATGTGCCTGGACAGAGTAAAGAAAGAACCTGAAGATGGGTTTACAAAGTCACAGCTGTGCACACAAAGAAGCTTTTCATTAGGAGCTTGCACTTAAATTTATAGAACACTTTTTAAATAAATCATTTATCATTTGAATTGATAGGGTAGTGTAGAATATAATGTGATCCCATTTTGCTTTGCCAGGTAAACATGAAGAAGTGGGACTACATTTGTTTGTGAGATGTTAAGCTAATTGTCTTAAGTTCTTAGGTTTTTACTAGACCAAACCTCCTATATTAGTTTTCTATGTTGCATAACTAATTTCCTCTAGTAGCAAAAGCTACACACATTTATTTTTTTCACATTTCCTTGTATTAGGAATCCTGGCATGGTATAGTTGGACCTTCTTCTTAGGATTTCACGAGACTAAAATTAAGGCTGGGCAGGCTACATTCTCACCAGGAAGTTGAATGGGGAAAAGAGTAGCTTCATAGTTCCCTCAGGTTGTTGTCAGAGTTCATTTCCTTGCAGCCCACTTCTAGATCCTTTTATAAAGGGCTCACCTTTTGATTAATTTAAATGATCTGCCTCAACTAATATATAATTTAATTAACTTAAAGTCAGCCGACTTAGAACTTCAGTGCATCTGTACAATCCCTTTATCTTTGTGACATTTTATTGGTTACAAGAAATAACCAGTCCTGTTTACACTCAAGGAGAGAGGATTGTACAAGGGAGAGTCACTGGAGGTCATCTTAAAATTGTTCCAACCCACAGCTATCAAGCGGTGAAACGGAATCAACACAAAGGGGTTTCATCTCTGGGTGTTTTATTAAAAATGGTATGACTATGCTGGGTTATAAAGCTAAAAGCAACTGTCAGACATAGTTGAGCTCAGACACAAATTGAAAAAATACTAATCTTCAAAATTTTCAGACTGAAGAGTACAAAGCTTCCTACCTCTAATACCCAAATCATAGAATTCTTCTTTTACTAATTATTTCAATTAAATCTATTTTATTATATTCTGATTTTTGTAGTATCATGATAATTAGTATCTTCTTAAAACCTCTCATTTCCAGCTTCAGATACTTTAAAAATTACTTCCAGTTTTCAAAATGTGTTTAAGTTAGTGGAGTCTTCAGCTGAAGTAAGATGAGTCTAAGAGAGTTTAATATATAAGCTTTTATTACAACAAACACACTTTCTGGGTTTATAAACAATGTATTAAGTTAATATAGTTTCGACTTATATTCTACTCAGGAAATACATACCTCTACTTTACTGCCATATTAGTGAAAATTATTTTCCAATTTCCACATGTTAAATATTGGCTTATATTGTACCAAACACTTTCCTATATTTTCTAATTATTTTTTCTAGTATTTTACAATGGTTTAGTGTGCTAACCTTTTTTTTTTTTAGTTAAAGAATACATTTTCCATGTTGTTATCTAGGTCATGAATGAAAATGTTAAACAGAACTGGGCCAAGTCTCTACAGAGCATTTCTTATTATGTCTTCCATTCTCACCCTGAACTGTTGATAATAATATTGTAGATAAGCCACGTACACACTCCTTCTATAACTAGTTGTGAGTCGAATAGTTCACTTGAATAGTTTGAATTTTCCCAATGTATTGATAAACATGTGAAACAAAATAAAAAATCTTGCTAATATAAAAGTCTGTTGTACCTATTATTGTCCTTGTATTTTCCAAAGCCATTATTTAGGATGACAAGGCTTTTTAATTTTTGAAAAAAAAAATTCTAAGACCTTTTTTTCCAGATTAGAAAATCTTTCTGGATATTTTGTTGTTGTTGTTAATTAAGGCGCAAACACAATACATACATAAATATGTAGTTTTTAATATAAACTTTTCATTGTTTTTTATTTTAACTTTAAAAGACTCTTCAGTTGTCTTGCTTATTCTCAATAAATTACAAGAATCAAAATCTACTAGCTTATTTTTCTCAACATATCATCAGTGCCTGATCAATTTAACACCTTCAACATCTACATATCTGCATACTCTTTTTCTGTAGCATTGTTTTCTCTGTTCCACCTAGTTTTGCACTTCTATAGGTTCCCATTTCAACTGTTTTTAATGGAAGAGGTTAAAATAAGCAACATTAGAAATTTTTGTCCTTTTTAGTGCCATCTGTTATTAGCTCTACTTTTCTTTATCTGTCATTCAAATCTGCCACATGAAAAAAATGTTTAAAAATTTTCTTTATGTCATGTGTAATTGCACCTCATTTTGGTTTGATTTCTTTTTATTTTTTTCTCTCCAAGCACCCAAGAATTATTTCCACTGGTTTTGATAATTTAATTCATACCCTTATATTGCTGTCTCCATGTGTTAAATTCTACTAGATTGTACACTTAACTAAATAGATATCATATCGTTTTGTAGAAAGAATAATTGAGTCCATATAGCTCATGTCTAAGTAATAACAGTTAATTGAACCAAAGAATTTTTCCAACCTTACTGAGAATAAAGGAGAGAAATCTTATTTTGTGAAAAAATGCTTCACAATATGGAAAAGACAAAGAATGATGAAACATTTTGTAACATAGAATGAATTGTGTTTATCCTCAACATAACCTCCCTGAAATTAATTTTAGTATGCAAAATACATATTTGTTGCTGTATAAATGGAGACTTCCATAGATGATATGATGAAAATGCAAGTCTTCTCTCATTTTTCTTAGTTTAGCTAAGAACTTGTCAAGTTTTATGTTTTCAAAAAAACTCAAAATCAGAAAGAGGAGACATTACAACAGATATCTGAGATCATAAGAGATGATTATAAATAATTATATATCAACAAATTAGATAATCTAGTAAAAATAGATACATTTCTAGAAACATATAATGTACCAAACTGGCTCGAGAAGAAATAGAAAGTCTAAACAGATCAAAAAAAAAAAAAAAAGAGAGAGAGATTGAATCAGTAATCAAAAGTCTCAACAAAGAAGAGCCTAGGACCAGATGGCTTTAGCATGAATTCTACTAAACATTCAACAAAAAATTAATACCCTTTTTTCTGAAATCCTTCCAAAAATAGAAGAAGTGGGACCACTTCCATACTCATTGTATGAGGACAGGAAACATCCCTTTAATAACAAAGCCAAAGAAAACACAGGAAAAATAAAAACTACAGACTAATGTCCCTGATTAATACAGATGCAAAACTGATCAATAAAATGCTATAAAACTGAATCCAACAGCACATTAGAAGGATTGTATACCATGACAAAGTAAGATTTATTATTGGATGCAAAAATGGTTAAACATATGCAAATCAACCAATGATATATCACATTAACAGAATGAAAGCTTAAAACCATATCCTCATCTCAATAGAAGCATAAAAAAGCAATGTATAAAATCCAACATCCATTCATGATTAAAAAAACACTCAGCAAAATAGGTATAGAAGAAACTTATCTCAACACAATAAAAGCTGTGTGTTTTTTTTTTTTTTTTGAGACGGAATCTCGCTCTGTCGCCCAGGCTGGAGTGCAGTGGCGGGATCTCGGCTCACTGCAAGCTCCGCCTCCCGGGTTCACGCCATTCTCCTGCCTCAGCCTCCCAAGTAGCTGGGACTACAGGCGCCCGCCACTACGCCCGGCTAATTTTTTGTATTTTTAGTAGAGACGGGGTTTCACCGTTTTAGCCGGGATGGTCTCGATCTCCTGACCTTGTGATCCGCCCGCCTCGGCCTCCCAAAGTGCTGGGATTACAGGCGTGAGCCACCGCGCCCGGCCTAAAAGCTGTATTTTAAAAACCTACAGATAACAGCATAACAGATGGGGAAACTCTGAAAGCTTCTTTTTCTAACGTCCAGCATGTGGCAAGGATACCCACTGTACATCACTTCTATTCAGAGAAATTAGAACAACAAAAAAAATAAAAATTATCCAAATCACAAAGGAAGAAGCAAAATTATCTCTGTTTGTAAATGACATAATCATATATAAAAACATAAAAGACTCACAGAAAAACAAACTGTAGAACTAATGAACAAAATCAGTAAAGTTACAGGATACAAAATTTAGTGGTGTTTCTATACACTAACAAAGAGCTATTCAAAAATAAAATTAAGAAAACAATCCTATCGGCAATAGCAACAACAACAAACAATTCTTAGGAATAAACTTAGCCAAAGAAATGAAAGGCTTGTATATTGAATATTATAAAACATTGATAAAATAAACAAAAGAAGACAAAGACATATGTAAATAGAAATATATGCTGTGTCCATGGATTGGATACATTAATATTGTTAAATGCCCATAATACCAAAAGTGAACAATGCCATCCTTATCCGCCAATGGCATTTTTCACAAAAATAAAAAAAGAACCCCAAAATTCATCTGAAACCATGAAAGACACAAAATAGCCAAAGTGATTTTGAAAGGAACAAAGTTGGAGGCATCACACTTTCTGATTTGAAATTATATTACAAAGATGAAATCATAAAAACAATATGGTACTGCATTAAATTTAAAAGACATATAGACTAATAAAATAGAATAGAGAGCCCAAAGATAAATATAAGCATTTTCATTCAACTCATCTACAACAAAGTTGTCAAGAAAATGCAATGGTGGAAGCACAGCCTCTTCAATAAATAGTTTTGGGAGCTGAATATCCACAATGATATTGTCCTCCTATCTCACATCTTATATAAAAAATTAACTCAAAATGGATTGAAGACATAAATGTAAGATCTGAAACTGTAAAATTTCTGAATAGAAACATAAAAAGGATTGGTCTTGACATTGGTCTGGGCAATGACTGCATATGACACCAAAAGAATAGACATTTTTAGAAAAATAGAAAAGTGGGATTACATCAAACTAAAAAGCTTCTGCACGGCAAAGGAAACAATCAACAGAGTGAAAAGACAACCTATGAAATGGGAATAAAGTTTTGCAAACCATAAATTTGGTAAGTGGATAAAATCCAAAATATACAAGGAACTCAAACATCTCGATAAAAAACACATAACTGGCTTTTAAAATGGGTTAAGAAACTGAATAGACATTTCTTCAAAGAAGTCATATAATGGCCAACAGTATATAAAATGTGCTCAATGTCACTAATCCTCAGAGAAATACAAATTAAAATCACAAGGAGATATCACTTCATACCTGTTAAAATGGTTATTATTAAAAAGACAAAAAAACCAGTGTTCACGAAGATGTGGAGAAAAGGGAATCCTTGTACACTGTTGATGAGAATGTAAATTGGTACAGCCATTTTGGAAAACAGTATGGAGGTTTCTCAAAAAACTTAAAAAACTACCATATACTCCAGCAATCTCGGTTTGGGGTATAGAACCAAAGAAAATGAAATCAGTATCTCAATGAGATATCTGCACTCCCATGTTCATTGAAGCATGATTCACAGTAGCCACGATATGCAAACAATGTAAATGTCTGCCAACACATAAATGAATAAAGAATACATGTTAACTAGTTTGGTTGTGGTGATAATTTCACAATGTACACATGTATCAATGCATCAAGTTGTACACCTTAAATATGACTAGCCTATATTTGTCAATTATATCCCAATAAAACAGAAAAAAAGAAAAAGAAATAAGGAAGAGAAAAATAGATTCCTGATTTCCTATACTAAATATTTTACACCACCACCCACTTTAAGATGACTTGTTGTATACTACACCCAATGAACACTAATATAAGATGTTATGAATATAAAAATACCTTAAAATTTTAAAAGAAAATTATCAGAATAACTAATACTATACTGAATACACCATTATATGCTATATTCTGACTAACAAATGACTCATGATTATTGAATTGATTACACGTAACCAGTAGGTTTGTGCCTGTAGGTGCTGTTGATGGTGTAATCTACTTAATGCATGAAAAACTAAAAAGATTTTTCAAAATTTCTTAGCTACTGCAGCTTTTCAGACAGTAAAATGTCTTCTACTTTCTTATTCATTACAATTGTACTTTTCTGAGTCTGTATAAGTTCATTTTCTATTTTCACATCAATATACTGGAGATAAGCTTATGAATAAGAAACTAAAGACAGAGAATCTGTTCATATTTAGCTATAAGCTAATTTCAGTTTACCACACATTTATCTATTTTCTAAAGAATGACAACTATCTTTTCCTGTTGTATAGTAAATATTTTATAAGGTGATGTTAACTAAAGCATTGTAATAACAATGGGCAATAATAAAACAGAACGATAAAATTTTAAAAAGTTTGATGAAGATATGGAGCAACAAGAACTTTCATATGATAGTGTGGAAATGAAAACTACTAAAATCATTGTGGATACCTGTTTAGTAGTATTCATTAAGCATACAATATTACTCAGTAATTTTACTCCTAGATATATACAAAACAGAAATATAGACATGCATGCATGGAAAGGCTGACTCAATATAGTCAAAGTAGACTTACCCAGAATAGTCAAAGACTAGTCTAAGAAAATGACTAGCAACCGTAGAAAGGCTAAAGCAAATATAATGTGTTGATTCTAGGGGTTTTAAAAGCAATGAAAAAATATTATACACAGTATGTAATAAAAATCTAACAAATATGATATTAAACAAAGAAAGATATATAAGAATATACATGTTATGATTTCAATTATGAAATTTTGAAAGCAGGCATAAGTTATCTTTGCTGTTAAGAGTTAAGAATAGTGGTTTCCTGGCGGGGCGCCGTGGCTCACGCCTGTAATCCCAGCAGTTTGGGAGGCTGAGGTGGGCGGATCACCTGAGGTCAGGATTTGATACCAGCCTGACTCACATGGTGAAATCCCGTTTCTACTAAAAATACAAAAAATTAGCCGGATATGGTGGCGGGTGCCTGTAATCCCAGCTATTAGGGAGGCTGAGGCAGGAGAATCGCTTGAACCCAGGAGGCGGAGGTTGCAGTGAGCTGGGATTGCGCCACTGCACTCCAGCCTGGGCAACAAGAGCGAGACTCCGTCTCAAAAAAAAAAAAAAGGTGGTTTCCTTTGAGGAGGAGAGTGGCCTGCTGTACTGAATTTAAAGCGGCAAGAGGAAAGCTTATTGGTGCTGACTAAGCCTTAACTTGGTTACATGGCCATATATGCTCTGCAGAATTCCATTGAAATGTACTCTCTCATATATATGTTGTTTACGTTAAAATTTTTCCAACTAATTGCTGCTTGTAGGAACATACCTGCCCTTGGTATCCTGACGTTATGTCAAACAGCCTCACATTTATTCATTCTGAGTTTAGTCTACAGATTCTCATAATTATTTTGTGTTTATTTCTTTTAGTTATTTAAACCTTTATTACCACACTTCTGTATAATCTGCTTGACAGAAGAAATACAATAGTGAATAGAAGCTGTAATAACAAAAATCCCTTATGTTATTTCTGATTTTAACAAGAAATGCTTCTATTTTCACCATTATATAGAAAGTTGGCAAAAGGATAATTATTGTTTATAAAGTTTTGTAGGATTTCTTATCCATTTCTCATTTTGTTGAATTTAGTTTGTTAGTACTTTATTTAGGGATTTTACATGTATGTAGGTAAGTGAGTCTTTCCTCTAACGATTGTTCTTTCATGCTCTTAAAAGTTCTATTATTTTGAAATCTTAATTCGTACATTGTCTTTCCCTTTAGGTTTACGTTTGTCTGTTTGCTTGCTTTTTTATTTTATTTTAAATTGACAATTCACAATTACATGCTTTTATGGGGTACAAAATAATGTTATAATTTATTAATACAATGTGAAGTAATCAATTAACATATCCATAACCTCAAATACTTAACTTTTTATGTGGTAAAACCATTTGAAATTTATTCTCTTAGCCATTTTGAAATTTATAGTACACTATTATTAATTGTATCTATGACACTGTGCAATAGATCTCAAAAAAATATTGCTTTTTTTCTGAGTTCTTCTACCTTTTGACCATCATCTGTCATTCCTCTCATCTCCCAGCCTTTGTAATCACACTGCTCTCTGTTTCTGTGAGTTTTGGTTGGTTTTGATTCCACATATTATGTGAGAACCGGTGATAATTGTCTCTCTGTGCCTGGCTTATTTCATTAAATATAATATTCTCCATTTCATCTATGTTGTCACAAATGACAGATAATTTCATTCTTTTTTAATGCTGAATGGTATTTCATTGTAGGTATATGCCACATTTTCTTTATTCATTAATTTGTTAATGGACACTGAGCTTGATTCTATAACTTTGCTATTGTGAATAGTGCTACAGTGAACATGGCTTCAGGTATCTCTTCAACAAGCTTATTTCAAATCTTTTGGGTAAATACTCAGAAGTGCGATAATTGGATCATATGGTGGTTCTCTTTTTAGTTTTTTCAGGAACCTCTACACAGCTTTTCATAACTGCTGTACTAATTTACATTTCCAACAACAGTGGCCAAGGGTTCTGTTTTCTAGACATCCTTACTAACATTTATTTTTTATTTTTTTGATAAAAGCTATTATGACAAGTGTGAGATAACATCTCATTGTGGTTTTAATTTGAATGTACCTAATAATTAGGGTTGTTAAGCATGTTTTCCTACATCTGTTGGTCATCTGTCTGTCTTCTTTTGGGAAAGTCTATTCAGTTTCCTTGCCCATTTTTTAACTTACTTTTTCTTGCTATTCAACTATTTGAATTCCTGATATATTTTGAATATTAATCTGTTATTGAATATATGGCTTGCAAATATTTTGTCCTTATTTGTAGGTTGTCGCTTCACCTTGTTTGTTTAAGTGGAAAAGCTTTTTAGTTTAATGTAATCTTATTTGTCTATTTTTGGTTTTGTTGTGTGCTTTTGGGGACAAAAGGTAGTGTAATGCCTCCAGCTTCTTTATTTTGTTGTTCATGATTGCCTTGGTTACTTGCGTTTTTTTTGGTGTTTGTTTAGTTTGTTTGTTTTTTGTCATGGAGTCTTACTCTGTCACCCAGGCTAGAGTGCAATGGTGCAATCTTGGCTCACTCCAACCTTCGCCTCCCCAAGTTCAAGTTCGCCTCCCCAGTTCCTTACTCAGCCTCCTGAGTAGCTGGGATTACAGGTGCGCACCAACACGCCCAGCTATTTTTTGTATTTTTAGTAGGGACGGGGTTTCACCATGTTGGTCAGGCTGGTCTCGAACTCCTGACTTCTAATCTTCCCACCTTGGCTTCCAGAAGTGCTGGGATTATAGGTGTGAGCCTCCGCACCCAGCCTATTTGCGGTTTGTGGGTGAATCTCATAAAAACAATTCGGAAGAATTTCTGTCTTTTCAAATTCTTTGCCCGTGCCTGTGTCCTAAATGGTATTGCCTAGATTTTCTTCTTGAGTTTTTTTAGTCTTTAATCCATCTTGAGTTTATTCTTGTACAAAGTGTAAGGAAGGAGTCCAGTTTCAATTTTCTGCATATGGCTAGCAAATTCTCCCAGCACCATTTGTTAAATAGGAAAAACTTTCACCATTGCTTGTTTTTGTTAGAGTTGTCAAAGATCACATGGCTGTGGATGTGCAGTTTTATTTCTGAGTTCGCCATTTTATTCCATTGGTCTATGTGCCTTTTTTTGTACTAGTACTGTGCTGTTTTGGCTACTCTAGCCTTGTAGTATAGTTTGAAGTTGGGTAGAACGATTCCTCCAGCTTTGTTCTTTTCGCTTAGAATTGTCCTGGCTCTAAGAGCTCTTTGTCAGTTCCATATGAATTTTAAAATAGTATTTTCTAATTCTGTGAACAATGTCAATGGTAGTTTAATAGCAATAACATTGAATCTATAAATTGCTTTGGGCAGTATGGCCATTTTCATGATATTGATTTTTCCTATCCATGAGCATGAAATGTTTTTCCTTCTGCTTGTGTCCTCTCTGATTTCCTAAGGACAGTGGTTAGTAGTTCTCCTTGAAGGAGAGAAAACTTCCCTTGTCAGCTGTATTTGTAGGTATTTTATTCTCTTTGTGACAATTGTGAATGGGAGTTTATTCATTATTTGGCTCTCTGCTTGTCTGTTGCTGGTGTATAGGAATGAGTGTGATTTCTGCACATTGATTTTGTATCCTGAGACTGCTGAAGTTGCTTATCAGCTTAAGAAGCTGAGTTGATGGGGTTTTCTAGATATATGATCATGTCATCTGCAAAGAAAGACAAGTTGACTTCCTCCCTTTCTATATGAATACCCTTTATTTCTTTCTCTTGCCTGATTGCCCTGACCAGAACTTCCAATACTATGTTGAATAAGAGTGGTGAGAGAGGGCATCCTTGTCTTGTGACAGTTTTCAAAGGGAAATGCTTCCAGCTTTTGCCCATTTAGTATGATATTGGCTGTGGGTTTGTTATAAATGGCTCTTATTATTTTGAGGTATGTTCCTTCAATACCTAGTTTATTGAGAGTTTTTAACTCTTATCTCTTGTGTATCTCATTACTTTGTCTTTGATTTTTTGATGGTTTGAATCACATACAAACAAGTGCCAAAATGATCTTCAGTGAATTTCTCAGCAGAAATCTTGCATGCCAGGAGAGAGTGGGATGATGTATATAAAGTGCTGAAGGAGAACCACTACTAACCAAGAATATGTTACCAAACACAGCTGTCTTTCTGAAATGAGGAAGAAATAAATACTTTGCTTACCGCATAACTTTGTCTTTGATTTTTTGATAGTTTTATTATTATATGTCTTGGTGAGCTCCTGTTTGGAGTGAATTTGTTTGGAGACCTATGCTCTTCCTGTACCTGTATGTTGGCATCTATCCCCATATTAGAAATTTTTTCACCATTATGTCTTTAAATACGCTTTCTTCTTAGTCTTTCGTCTTCTGCAACTTCTATTATGTGAATTTTGATCTCCTAATGTACCATAATTCCCTCAGCTTTCTTCATTCTTTAACATTTTGCCTTTTTGCTCATCTGCCTGGATAATTTCAAATGTTCTGTCTTCTAGCTTACTGATTCTTTCTTCTGCTTGATTAAACCTGCTGTAGAAGCTTTATATTGGACTTTTCAATTTAGTCATAGTATTCTTCATCTCTAAGATTTGTATTTTGATCTTTTTTATTGTTTTTATTTATTTGTCAAAATTATCTTTTTGTGTGTATTGTTTTTTAAATTACATTTAATTTTCTATCCACATATTCTTGTAGTTCACTGAAAATTTTAAAAAGTATTATTCTGAATTCTGTATCAGTCATTTCATAGATCTCCATTTTGTCAGAATCCATGATTGGATCTTTATTGTTGCTTTTGAGATGTCATGATTCCCTCAGTCTTTGTATGTCTTGTGCTATAGTGTTGTTGCCTGCACATTTGAGGAAACAGCTTCCTCTTCTGGCCTTTGCCTGTGGTTCTTTGGCAGTAATAGACCTTCACTATTTAGGTTAGCCTGTGATTCTGGAAGGGCCAGCTGATGGATGACCCCAAGCAGGCAGAGCTTATTGTGGGTTTTCTCATTGCCTGGGCGGCTGCCTTTACTCTAATATTGAGTCAGACTGCTGACTGGGCTACACTATCTAGCAAGACAATTGTCTGAGCTCTGCTATCAGGTGGAGCTGCTGTCTGAGTACTAACATGGTTTCTGTTCAAGCTAGTCATAAGATGTATTCTCTGGCTGGGTGATTTCACTAGTCAGAACCTGCAGTTGTGCAGGACTACAGTATGGGCTCCATAGTTAGGTGGAATGGAGCTTTGGATGGGTGGGATGAGAAGTTATGCTCCCTAGAAATGCAAGATTGAAAATTACTTCCCTTTCAGAGTCCAGATTGTTGACCATTATACAAGGGAAGAAGCTAAGATTTCCTCTCTTCCAGGGTGCAGCTGTGAGGTGGGCTTTTTGCTGAATCGAGCAGCTGTTTGTCCTCAGTCACACAACTCTAGCCACCATGTTTCTTTGAAATGAGCAGAACCAGGTATCTTTCTGCCTGTGTGGGGTCATTGTGGTGGGCTACGAGGCTGGACATGGAGGCTAGCTGCCTAGGGACTCAAACTAGGTTGAACTTCCCACCGTGCTTCTGAAAGTGACTAGGTTGAACTTCCCACCATGCTTCTGAAGGTGACTAGGTCAGCTTTGTGAGTGGGCTACAAAATTAGCTAATATCTCTGATTGGTGCCACAACTAGCAGGAACGTAGAGGCACCACTAAGATCTGTCTACTCATCACTATGACCTCTGCCTACTTTCTTTGTTTTCACTTGACCCTAGGCAATCTAGCAATGCCATTAGACATAGTGTTCCTTGGGAGGTGAGATCAGAGTGGGCTTCCGGGGAAGTGTCTCACGGTGCTAGGAAAGCTGAATGACTGCCTCCAGTTCTTTTTTCTCTCTACAAAAATGGAGGACCAGGGGAAATCCTCTCCATCTGGAATTGTGCAGATATGAGAGAGACAGCGAGGTGTACCATGGTTGTAGAGACACCGTTCTTCTTTCTCTTCTAGTAAGGTTTTAATTCATTTCTGCAGAACACGTGGGTATCTTTGGCTTGTTTCCAATTACTGGGATTTTCAAAAAGATTTTCCCGTCTATAGGTAGTTGCTAGCTAAACATTCTGGGGGGATTGGCAGGGCGGGTAGTGGAGCCTAGATTTTCTATTCTGCCATTTTACTGAATCAGCTCCCTTTTGGGTTTTGTTGCAAGTTTTGTATCAATCATATGCTAGTTTCATGAAATGAACTAGATAGGTTTACCATTTTTTTCAATTATCCAGAAAATATTCTATAACATAGGAAGTATTTCTTCTTGAGCATTTAATAGAACTGGCTTATAAAATAGTCTAGGGCTGATGTATTTGTTTATGAAAAGCATACGTGTGCTTTTTGTAAATGATTTAGATTCTATAATAACTATAGATATATTCAGGTATTCTCTTTGACAATTTTGAAATCTACACATTTGGTTAAAATTGTTCATTACTTCTATATTTTTAAATATATTGAGGTGATATATTTTAGATTATTAGCTTATGAATTTTTAATATTTATCTGAATTTAGCTTGTTTATACCTAATATTACATAAGTATGCCTTCTATTGCATATTTTACACCAATAAGATCACTGTTCTGTCACATACAAAAAAAAAAAACTTTTCCACAAAGTATTAAATCATTTATTTTCTCCTTTTTCAAAAATTATCTTCTTAATTTCTACTTTGATGTTTATTACTTTAATTTCATCTGCTTTCAAGTGTACTCTACCATTTTTTAAACATAATAAGTTTGAATACTACTTATTCACTTTTTAAATTATTTTACTTTGTGTTTTAGAGACAGGGTCTCCTTATGTTATCCAGGTTGGCCTTGAACTTCTGGGGTCAAGGAATCCTTTTTTCTCAGCCTCCTACAGAGCTGGACTATAAGCATATGCCACCATGCCTGACTCACTACTCATTTACTATTGATTCTTATTTTTGCAATATATTTATTAATAGTTACAAATTGTTTAAGACTTTTTCCTTACATACTAGAAATTTTGCTATATAGGGGTTTTTTTTTAGTTTGAAATTGTAATTCCATTATGATCTCTTCTTTAGCCTTTACAATGTTTTCCTACTTTCCAAATACATGTATGAGTATTGAATTTATATATTCAGTTTGAACATTTTGATTCACAGATGCCTCAGCCTGCATGAAATTCATTCTTGTTTTTTTAGTTCAGGATACAGAAAATTGCTTTAATGATATATTCATGCTTAAAAGTACTCATTTTTCAAATTTTGCTTCTGTAAAATCTTGTATTAGAAAGCTTTCTTGACACATAATGTCTGGATTAGTTACTTCTTTTGTGTTCTAGCATACTAACATATATCCCCCCTATTTCAGTGTTTATCATGCTGTGGTATAATTGCCTTGTGTCTCATTTGTTCACCAAATTTTGAGCTCTACATAGTTTGAAACAATATTGGTCTTGTTCACTCTTATATCCCCAGTGTCTAACACTTTCCAAATGTCATCTATAAATATTTGTTGTTTGAATAAATTCAGAACAAATGGTCCATGCTCAATTGAAGGTCTGGAAGGTATCAGACCCATCACTTTTGTGGATGCATTTATAACATAAACGTCACTTGTAACATGGCTTCATGATTTTATAACACAATGTGTATCCCTATTTGCCTATTTCTGTTGTTTTCTAGATAGCACTTAAAAAATATTGCTTCTTCATATTTGTACTTTTCTTACTTTTCCCAGTGCCCGACCCATACTAGGCTTAATAATTGGCTATGGAATAACTGAATTCCTCTCAATTTTGCATTTACAATGTTTCTCATACTATTTCTTTTTATTTCACTTCATTTCTACTATTCTTACCATGATTTAATTACCTATTTGTATTATAGTTACATATTTTCCACATTCTTTCTTTTTAGTGCTTTCTCACCTTCCAATAGCTTCCACATATTGTTATTTAGATGAGAAGATAGCCAAGAATTTTTTCTAAAAATCCAGTTTTATAATACCATAACTCAGCTCAGAAACTATTTTTCTGTCAAGAAAAACTGTAAGCTCCTTAATGTATCTTGACCTTCAAAACACTCTAGTGTCTATAACCCTTGACTGCTATAAGATAAGTGGGTTTTCATTTTATTTATGATTACCCATGCCTGCACCCAGCATTTAACCAAGCATATCACAGTTACTCAGTAAGAACTTAGGAAAGAATATGTTTGTTGATACCTTGCTTCTTAAAATGATTCTATGAAAAAGTATCTGTACACAACTAAAAATGTATCTGTTTTAAAGGCATATATTCAGAAGTAACTTATTGTGCAACATCTATGAAAATGATACACATAATTGAGAAAAACACTTGCTTTTCTTGGTTTAGAAAATAACATGAAGGTAGATAACATTTATCTATTTAATTGTAAATATCAATGGAAAAAACATTTCGAATTTGATTTGAATGATATTTTGAAACAGCTAAATGACTCATTGTCTATTTGAAAGAATACATAGGAAATAATAGAAAATAAATATTTGGCAATGAAAAGTAATCTGACAATCCTTGACCCAGAATGAAGACATCAATGGGTAAGATAATAATGACCAGAAACAGTCAAGCTCCAATTAAGTATTCCAAATGATTTGTGAAGGAGAGAATGTGCATGAAATATTGTACGGTAGTTCACTACCAATTGGGCATAAAGCAAAACAGGCAATAGTGGAGATTATATTGTCACTTCAGAACATACACCAAATAAAGTATTAAAAAAACAAAAGGTTAATAGATGAATTACATGTACCTTTCATCTCGGTAATACAATGAAAGAAAACCCAGATAAAAGTGAGTATTTGTTGCACTCTAGGTAAAGAATTCTTAAACTCAAACGGTATTGAAAAAATTGTAAAGAAATATTATTTCACTATAATATTTTAGGTATAAATATTATTTGACTATAAAAATTTTAACTTTTTTTGTTAAAGTTAAACAGCTCATGTTTGCTACAAAACAATTAAAGAGAAAAGTTTACAATTGTAATATGAATGGCAGTAATATGGATGTATGAGAAAAATATTAATAGGTCAAAATAAATGGTAGAGCTTAGAGCAAAACAGACACTCCTCATAATAAATTCAAATGAAAAACAATTATGAGTGGACTCCAAAGTTTGTGAAAAAATAGAATTAAAAGTAAAAAAAAAAATTGACTTTACATAATCCCCATCAAGTTCAAGAAACTTTTGTAAGCAATGATATCAGATATTTAGTTCATCCCTAAAGATTTGATGGTCCTGGAAATTTAATCATATTGATGCCATTGTTTTTATATTAACTGAAGAAAGATGAGTGCCCTTTACACATGTTTTTGTAATCAGGAAATAAAAAGAAGTCAGAAGGAGCCAGGTAAGGACTGTAAGGTGGATGCCTAATGATTTCCCATTAAAATTCTCACAAAGCGGCAATTTTTTTAAAGAGAAGATTGAACAGGAGCTTTATTGTGGCGGAGAAGGACTCTCTGGTGGAGCTTTCTCAGGTATAATACTGCTACAGCTTTGAATAACTTTCTCGAAACTCTCTGAGAATAAGCAGATATTATCAATTTTTGGCCCTTCATAAAGTCGACAAGGAAAATGCCTTGAGCATCCCAAACACCTGTTGCTGTGACCTTTGCTCTTGACTGGTCCACTTGTGCTTTGACTTGACTACTTCCATCTAATGGTAGCCATTGCTTAGATTGTGTTTTAGCTTAAGAATTGTCCTGGCAAAATCATGTTTCATAATCTGTTATAATTCTTCAAAGAAATGCTTCAGGATCTTAAGCTGTTACAGTTCTTCAAGGAAATGCTTCAGGATCTTTATCTCACTTGTTTAAAGTTTTCATTGAATGCTTGTGATTTTTGTACATTGATTTTGTATCCTGAAACTTTGCTGAAGTTGCTTATCAGCTTAAGGAGATTTTGGGCTGAGACAATGGGGTTTTCTAGATATACAATCATGTCGTCTGCAAACAGGGACAATTTGACTTCCTCTTTTCCTAGTTGAATACCCTTTATTTCCTTCTCCTGCCTAATTGCCCTGGCCAGAACTTCCAACACTATGTTGAATAGGAGTGGTGAGAAAGGGCATCCCTGTCTTGTGCCGGTTTTCAAAGGGAATGCTTCCAGTTTTTGCCCATTCAGTATGATATTGGCTGTGGGTTTGTCATAGATAGCACCAATAACAGACAAACAGAGAGCCAAATCATGAGTGAACTCCCATTCACAATTGCTTCAAAGAGAATAAAATACCTAGGAATCCAACTTACAAGGGATGTGAAGGACCTCTTCAAGGAGAACTACAAACCACTGCTCAAGGAAATAAAAGAGGATACAAACAAATGGAAGAACATTCCATGCTCATGGGTAGGAAGAATCAATATCATGAAAATGGCCATACTGCCCAAGGTAATTTACAGATTCAATGCCATCCCCATCAAGCTACCAATGACTTTCTTCACAGAATTGGAAAAAACTACTTTAAAGTTCATATGGAACCAAAAAAGAGCCTGCATCACCAAGTCAATCCTAAGCCAAAAGAACAAAGCTGGAGGCATCACACTACCTGACTTCAAACTATACTACAAGGCTACAGTAACCAAAACAGCATGGTACTCATACCAAAACAGAGATATAGATCAATAGAACAGAACAGAGCCCTCAGAAATAATGCCACATATCTACAACTATCTGATCTTCGACAAACTTGAGAAAAACAAGCAATGGGGAAAGGATTCCCTATTTAATAAATGGTGCTGGGAAAACTGGCTAGCCATATGTAGAAAGCTGAAACTGGATCCCTTCCTTACACCTTATACCAAAATCAATTCAAGATGGATTAAAGACTTAAACGTTAGACCTAAAACCATAAAAGCCCTAGAAGAAAACCTAGGCATTACCATTCAGGACATAGGCATGGGCAAGGACTTCATGTCTAAAACATCAAAAGCAATGGCAACAAAAGCCAAAATTGACAAATGGGATCTAATTAAACTAAAGAGCTTCTGCACAGCAAAACAAGCTACCATCAGAGTGAACAGGCAACCTACAAAATGGGAGAAAATTTTCGCAACCTACTCATCTGACAAAGGGCTAATATCCAGAATCTACAATGAACTCAAACAAATTTACAAGAAAAAAACAAACAACCCCATCAAAAAGTGGGCGAAGGACATGAACAGACACTTCTCAAAAGAAGACATTTATGCAGCCAAAAGACACATGAAGAAATGCTCACCATCACTGGCCATCAGAGAAATGCAAATCAAAACCACAATGAGATACCATCTCACACCAGTTAGAATGGCAATCATTAAAAAGTCAGGAAACAACAGGTGCTGGAGAGCATGTGGAGAAATAGGAACACTTTTACACTGTTGATGGGACTATAAACTAGTTCAACCATTGTGGAAGTCAGTGTGGCGATTCCTCAGGGATCTAGAACTAGAAATACCATTTGACCTAGCAATCCCATTACTGGGTATATACCCAAAGGACTATAAATCATGCTGCTATAAAGACACATGCACACGTATGTTTATTGCAGCACTATTCACAATAGCAAAGACTTGGAATCAACCCAAAGATGCAACAATGATAGACTGGATTAAGAAAATGTGGCACATATACACCACGGAATACTATGCAGCCATAAAAAATGATGAGTTCATGTCCTTTGTAGGGACATGGATGAAATCGGAAATCATCATTCTCAGTAAACTATCGCAAGAATAAAAAACCAAACACCGCATATTCTCACTCATAGGTGGGAATTGAGCAATGAGAACACATGGACACAGGAAGGGGAACATCACACTCTGGGGACTGTTGTGTGGTGGGGGGAGAGGGGAGGGATGGCATTGGGAGATATACCTAATGCGAGATGACGAGTTAGTGGGTGCAGCGCACCAGCATGGCACATGCATACATATGTAACTAACCTGCACATTGTGCACATGTACCCTAAAACTTACAGTATAATAAAAAAAAATTTTTTTTTCATTGAATGAAAGTTCTGCTCTCATCCCCAGGTGATCAGGCTCTTGTCTGCAGCTTATCAAGGCACAACAGTTTTGGCACTCATTGAGTAGGAAGTTTGCTCAATTTAAATTTTTCAGTCAAAATGGTGTAACCTGAACAAATTGAGATGTCTATGGGGTTGGCTGTTGTTTCAGCTAACTGTTGATCCTGTTTAATTTGGGCATGAACAAAGTCTTTTACTTGCAAATTGATGAAGATAGACTGCCTTTGCAGGCTTCATCTTCAACATTGTCTCATAACATTTTTAAATGAGTTATCCATTTGTATACTACTGATTTCTACAGGGCATTGTCCCTACCAACTTTGTGTAAAGCATCACGATTTCACCATTCTTCTACCTATACCATAAATTTGGTGTTTGTTCTTGTCACAATTTTAGCAGAATTCATGTTGCTGTGATAGGGTCCCCTTTTAAACTGATGTCTAATCCTTCTTAGTGCCTCAAATTAGGTCCGGTTCAGACACGTTACAAGTTAGTACAAGTTTATTTTGGTCCCAAAACTTTTGAAATCTCTGTATAATTTTTTCATAATATGCATTTTCCATAAGGTTGTATTAAAACGTCTCATAGATGTAAAAAAAAATAGCAGCCATATAAATAAATAAATAAAATAAATGTATATACCATTTTTCCTCATATGGTATCTCAACAAAGCTCAAAAAGTACTAAATTCTGAATTTGAAAAATGTATCTCATAACTTACCTTTGAAAATCAGCAGAGGCAAGGTAAATTAGAAAAATTCATTTAGAAAACACCAGATAGATATTAATACATACTATCCAATTGAATTAACATATCTATATTCAATGGAATGAATCTATCTACAGATTCCATTAGATTATTTTGTAGATTATTGTATATATAATAACATAAATAATGTTTATATTATAAAATAACATAAATAATGTTTATATTATAAAATAACATAAATAATGTTTATATTATAAAATAACATAAATAATGTTTATATTATAAAATAACATAAATAATGTTTATATTATAAAATAACATAAATAATGTTTATATTATAAAATAACATAAATAATGTTTATATTATAAAATAACATAAATAATGTTTATATTATAAAATAACATAAATAATGTTTATATTATAAAATAACATAAATAATGTTTATATTATAAAATAACATAAATAATGTTTATATTATAAAATAACATAAATAATGTTTATATTATAAAATAACATAAATAATGTTTATATTATAAAATAACATAAATAATGTTTATATTATAAAATAACATAAATAATGTTTATATTATAAAATAACATAATGTTTATATTATAAAATAACATAAATAATGTTTATATTATAAAATAACATAAATAATGTTTATATTATAAAATAATATAAATAATGTTTATATTATAAAATAATATGTTTATATTATAAAATAATATAAATATTTAAAAATTATAACTTAAATTATTTAAATTTTTAATATATATTGAAATTATATATTATAGATAACCATAAATGTCCACACACTTTGATCTAGTAATTACAATTATAACTGGAAATACATGCTATTAAAATAATCCTAAATACAGGGAAAACTCTAACTATAGACCTATCTACAATAGTAAATAAAAAAGGTAAACTGAATACAGGAATAATCAATAAAAAAGTCCATTATTCTTCATATATTAATAATGGCATTTTAAAGAATATGTAACAACACAGAAATCTTATAAAATGGGGAAAATATTTTTAAAGTTGGAAAATGTATAGAACAGTTTATACTTGATATTCAAACTTTTTAAAAATAAATTATTCATGAGAAAGGAATAGTTGACAATATTTTCATTAGTTGTCTTTACATATCAATAGCAAACATTGGCATGTATACAGGTTATTAAACAAAACAGGCAGTGGCTTATCTGCCAAATTTGAGTTTTCTCATAATTATTTTGGCTATCTAGATCCTTTGCATTTTCATATGAATTTTAGAACTAGGTTGTCAGCTTCTAAAGGAAATTCTGCTGGGATTTTAACTGGGATTGCATTCAATCTATGGATCAATATAGGACAGTTGGCATTTTAACAATGTTGAGTATTCTCATCTGTGAACACAACTCTCTTTCCTGTAATTTCTATCTTTTAAAATTTCTCTCAGCTATGTTTTGTAATTTTTCAGTATAAAAGTCTTGCATAAAAACTCCTATGTATCTACGTGTTCTATATTTTAGTGCTATCATATATGTTGCAATATTTTGGAAACTTGCTAATCTCACATTATGTCTAACAGTTTTTTAATAGATTTAATCAGATTTTCATAAATAAAATCATGTCATCAGAGAATGAAGACAGTTTTAATACTACCTTTCCAAACTAGATGCATTTTTATTTTTTTTCTTGCTGTGTTGAAGATCTCTAACACAATGAAGCAGTAAGAGCAGACATTTCAACATTGGAAAGTGCCAAACAAGTTTGGTATTTATGGAGAAAATGCATGAAATATTGGGTAGAGGTATGTATTACTATGAAAGTAATAAACCTCACATTACTAAAAACACTAATTTAAAATCTATAGCAATTACATTTTCACTTCTAATGGTAGGAAATTGTGTACAAACCTGAGATTTCCACAGTTGAAATGATTTTATAAAAAGAAGTCTCCAGGATGTCTGTTTAAAGCATTAAAATACAAATTTAAAACACTAAAATATGCTGTAAAATTGGAGCCTTAAAGTCTTACACTAATTCTGTTTACTAGGATATTAGCATTATAGAATTTAGATAAAGGAAGAGTCCTTGGAATCGCGCTCTTCTTACACCTCATTTAATGTTTTATTTCCCTGTACTAAGTGCTTGAATATCTTCACTGACAAATAATTCACTATATTCTGAAATAGACCAGTTCACCTTTAGATTTTACTAATTGTTCACATAACCATTGTTCAGTGTTCTGTTGAATTCTCTCAGTATTTTCTACCCACTAGTCCTTGCTCTAGTTTTTTTCTTCTCTGAGATATTTTTTCTCAATATTAAGGGTTATAAGTGACATAAAAGTTTTTATTATCATATAATTCCATGTTCTCTCTATCCTGATCTCTTTCCTCTGAACATAATCCAACTTTTATAAATCCCTGGTAAAAGCGAGATATGCAAAACTAATTGTCCAGGAGTCCTTTCATCAATGTCCTAAACACTATGCTTTGATAGCTGGATTAAGATGACCTTTGCTTTTTAGGTAGGAAATCCCACTGCTTCAAGCAGAATTAATCATCCACATTTTACATATGAAAAATAAAGAAGCACTAGTTCTTTAAAATAGGATGCCAGTTTGACTTGTATGTTGTATGTGTTCTGTAATAGCTTTTCTCTATAATTGCTCCTTTCCACAAGAAAATCTTCACTATACCAGCCCATACGGTTCAAATTACAAAAAAAAAAATAATAATAATTTCTTCTTTAGCTAATTTCTATTGCGGTGATGTTTTTATCTCATTTATTAATTCCTCAAATATGAATTGCATTGATATTCAACAGGCTCTGAGCTAGGTACTAGAACTATCAAATG
The DNA here is from genome assembly GCF_000001405.40 of Homo sapiens. Lineage (NCBI taxonomy): Eukaryota > Metazoa > Chordata > Mammalia > Primates > Hominidae > Homo > Homo sapiens. The sequence goes on along the minus strand of NC_000003.12, from coordinate 82,295,886 downwards.
GAGAAAGCAAAGTTCATGCTATCAGAGTTTCACAATATAGTGGCCTTCACATTACAAGTACTATGAAGAAGTATATATAAAGTTAGTAATAAATAGATAAGGAATTATTTAACTCTACCTCAGTAAACCTGAAAGACGACAGGGTATTTCATCTGAAGAATGTGTGAGAATGGTTAGAAATCACCAAGCTGAAAAGCGATGGAAGGTTTTCCGGGCCACGGGTACTGAATACGCAAGGAAATTGATGTACGGGCCGGGCAAGGTGGCTCACGATTGTCATCCCAGCACTTTGGGAGGCTGATGCAGGCAGATCACCTGAGGTCAGGAGTTCTGGCCCGTTCTCTACTAAAAATACAAATTAGCTGGGCGGCGTGGTGCACGCCTGTAATCCAAGCTACTCGGAAGGCTGAGGCACGAGAATCACTTGAACCGGGAGGTGGAGGTTTCAGTGAGTCAAGATTGTGCCACTGCCAGCCTGGGTGACAGAGCGAGACTCCGTCTCAAAAAAAAAAAAAAAAAAAAAAAAGAAAGAAAGAAATTGAGGTATGGTAACTTAAGAAGTTATACAAATTGAGGTCTCAATTCCTCTTCTTATATACCTTATGTTGGATTTTCAGGGTTTTTGCTGTTGTTGTTCTTTGATATTTATTTTTACAGGGTTTCTTTCTTTGAGAAGTAGTTGCAAGATGCACTGTTTTTGAAAACACCGGAAAATAAAAACAAGAACATTTTCACCACTTTTATCTACAGATTCTGCATATGGAGTAAGTGGAATGATTCCTATTTTGTCTCAGTAAGAATAGTCTATTTTAGAGACTTTGTAAATATTCATCACTATTAGGATATATAAAATGGGCAGAGGATAACTTGAGTTCCATTACGCTAAGAAAATGGTATGAATACTAAGCTGGACACAACTGTGACACTGGAGAGGGCCTTGTGAAGATTCTAATTGAGACGGGCAGTGTCACTGGGTTGATAAAACGTGTCAGCACAATTTGATATTAATGAAAATAAGTCTTTGTGGAAAGCTTTAGCATTAGTACTTTTAGCAGCAACAGCTGCTCTGTCTGCCTTTGCTTTAGCAGCTGTTTCATGTAGGTGACAGGCTGACAGGAGAACAATCAAGGGTTTATTTCTGGTTGAATTTTAGTTTCTACTTTCATTTGTTATTGTTATTGTTTGAAAAGAAGTATACCCATAATTTCTGTTTTGTCAGCAATCCTCCTTTTCAAGTTTTTGAAGCTTGTCATAGATAGCTAGGAAACAACTGAACTTTTTAAAGTTTTTTATTACATGTGCATGATGTCCTCTAAAACTTTAACTTTGAAATAAATAAGATGAAGTTATCCATGCTTAAAAATTGGGTATTGGCATATATGTAACAAAACTAGCTTAACCTGCATAATTACAGGTATTGATGTAGAATTGTGTCACACTAGCTGCCTGGAGTACTGCTGGCATTCAGTAAATGTTGAAATAAATTATAACAATGGGCTTTCAACTCTTACTAAGGACAAAATAATTCCACCGATTTTGAGAAAGTGAGTTACTTTACATGTGTAAGGGTATTAACCCCACATCATCATGTAGTGGAAAATTTATTTTCATGAATTGTTCCCAGAAGTAAAGTAAGGTATTTTTGAAGATACATTAATGTTCTTAATTTAGGATACTGACCAGCTCTCTACAGAAGCACTTTCCCAAATAGCACCTTTGTGAACTGAAAGAGCTAATATTGTGGCTAGTAACCTCTGTAATCAACATTCTGACAAAAAGATTCTGGGTATTTTCCAAACAAAATGATTTAAAGCAGCAATGACTAAAAACTGAAAAATGTGGTCAATACAAGTTTCTTTGTAAGAAAACAATGGTGATGGTGGTCACTCCTTCTAAAACCTCAGAAAGTACAAGTCAAATATTAGACAAGTTTTACATCTTTATAGACTTGGCAGAGAAGGGACTGCCATGACATTGCACAATGCAAATTATTCCATACAACAGAAAATAACAAACATTCATATTTTGGGGGGGAATAGTGAACGGGATATTTTCAATCACTTTGAAATGACATTTATTTAAAGCTTTTTATATACTATGTATACATCATTTTAAATACATCACGTCATTTAATTCTCAAAAGAAATATCATAAAGTAGGACATTATTATCATGTTTACTTTATCATCTTTATTATATAGATTAGTAAGTTGATTTGCAGAGAGGTTAAGTGATCTAAGAGCTCAGTCATTGTCAGTCCTCTCAAGCAATACATTAATCAGGGCAAAACTGTGATGAACATGTGGGTAATAATGCCAAATAAATTCATTCTGTTATTTGAATATGAATATACTTGTAAGCCAGTGATATTTTAATGACTGTTTATTCAGATATAAGGCCTTCATTGGGAAACATTAAACTTATTGATAGACAACTTTAGGAGGTTCAAAATTAAGATAAATTTTATGATCATATAATTCTAAGAAAAGTTAGTAGCTTGAGAAGAACAAAATTTTAGGACAGCTAAATTTTCAATGACATGTCTTTATTAAATGGGAGATTACAGAATAAAACAGGGTAATGCAATCATTTTAGACTAGGAAATTGATGGTACATATATCCATGATAACATTTAAAGAATGAGTATATTTAAATTTTGCTTTAGTTTTATATAACATTCAAACATTAAATTATTTAAAGAATACTACATTATGCTATTTTCCTGACACATACAAAACTTTTTCCTTCCATTTGAAAGTAAGAATAGTCATAAGTATGTTTAAATTAGACTGGAAGTAAAAATAACAAGTGATGTTTTAAATATATATTTAGTTTTCATATGTATAAAAACAAATACTGTAGTCTGCTTCATTTCAGCATACACCTTAAAAACATAAAGTTTGCCGAAATACTATATTTGGGGTAGTCTATTTTTAAGAGATGCAATACATGTTCATTGAAAACATTTAGTTAAAAGAGAAAAGCATAGGGCAGAATATCACAAATTCCTTAATTAGATTAGACTAGGGTAATTTCAATTAACATTGTGCTTTATTTCTTTAATCATTCATTTATATATCTAAAAGTATTTATAGAATACCTACAATGTATATGCACTTTACCAGTTAATAGGAATATATTCCTGCTCTCATGAATACTATAACCTAGGGAGACATACAGGCACATCATTATGCAAAACAATGTAATTTGATGAGTGCCTGGGTAGGACTGCAGCAAAGCTTGGGTGCATATAGAATGAGACCCTAACCCAGATTTTAGAATTATAAAAATCTTCTCAGATCAAGTGTTGCCAAACCTAATACCTTGGGGATGTTAGCTCAGAAAAGGGCTATAAATAGGGACAAGAAAAGGAAGAGAAATGTTTCTCAAAGAGAATAACATGTGCAGAGGTCTAGAGATGAGAGCGAGAACAGCAACATGACCAAGAAAATGAAAAAGACAAGTTCAGTTTCTATATCAAAGTTTTCTAGAAGTACAGTGGAGAGAAATCAATATAGAGTGATAAATACAAGAAAGTTCACAAAGAGCTTTTAAAGCCAGTGATAAACATTTTGAGTTTTATCCTTAAAGCAACGGGAGCCAAGAAAGAGTAGGCAAGTAATGGTGAGCAGATGTGCATTTCAGAGACATTGTGTTGGAGGGCACAATACAGTGGCAGTAAGTCATTTAGAAAGCTCAAGCAGTAACTCAAGTAAGAGACTATAATGGCCTCAACTGGGCTGATGATAGTGAGGACAGAATGGATGGATTGGAGGGCTTTCTTTGTGGTTTAAAGAGAACTTCTTGTTATCAAACTATATGGAGAGAGAAAACTAAGTCAAGAATGAAGATATTGTTTTTGATTTGAGGAACTAGTTAAAGTCAGCACTGGCTGAGATAGGTGACCCAGGAAGAAGATTAGATTTGATGAGAAATGACAAATTCCGTTTTAGAGATACTATGTTTGATGAGTTGGTGGAATACTTAGTGTATCAATTTGCTAGGGCTCTCATACCAAAATACCACAAATAGCTTGCCTTACAAAACAGAAAATTATTTTCTCACAATTCTTGAGTCTAAAAGTCTGAGGTCAAGGTATTGGCAGTGTTTATTTCTTCTGCAGGTCTCTCTTCTGGAGGTCTCTCTTCTTGGCTTTGTTTCTCCCTGTGTCTTCACATGATCTTTGTCTGTGTCCTACTCTCTTCTTATAAGGACATGAATCATAGTGAGTTAGGGGACACCTTAGTGACCTCATTTGACCTTAATTATCTATTTACAGACCTTTGTGTCCAGTCACAGTCTGAAGTACCAGGGTTAGGACTTCAACATATAAATTGGGGGTGTGAGGTGAATGGACAAAATTCAGGCAATAACACTCAGGTGGAACTGTCAAGCAGTCAGTTGGGAATACGGCTCTGATACTCATGGTTCTAGCATCACTATCATATTATCAGATTTGCTATTGAGATTACTCAAGGAGAGTGAATAAAGAACAAGGTGCAGGACATAACCCATTTAGGACTGGGCAAAATATGAAATTGATCAATTCCTCAAAACACACAACCTCCCAAGATTGAATCAGGAAGAAACTGAAATCCTGAAGCAATAATTCTCAAGAGTTTTGAGTTTGTGTGCATAAAGGTGTTCAAAACAGTCTCTTAGGAACATTTGTATTTCTGTGAGATCCATTTTAGCATAACTTTTGTCACAAAAAAAGTGCTTCTAGACCTAGTAGAAGACTAAGATCTTTGCTTTTCTTGTTAATCTAGCTAGTAGTCTATCCATCTCATTCATCCTTTCAAAGAACCAATTTTTCATTTTGTTGATCTTTTGTATGGTTTTTGCATCTCAATATCATTTAGTTCTGCTCTACTTTTAGTTACTTATTTTCTTCTTGTAGCTTTGGGGCTAGTTTGTTTTTTTTGCTGTTGTAGTTCCTTCAGACATACTGTTAAATTGGTAATTTGAGATCTAACTTGTTGGTGTAGGCATTTAAGCTATAAGCTTTCTTCTTAGCAAGGCTTTTGCTGCATATTGGAAATTTTTGTATGTTGTACATGTATTTCTGTTTCAGGGAAGTTTTTTTACTTCTGCCCTAATTTTATTGTTTAACCAAAAGTCATTCAGGAACAAGTTATTTAGTTTTCATGCAATTGCGTAGTTTTGAGAGTCCCTCTTGGTTTTGATTTTTATTTTTATTTCACCATGGTCTTGGAATATGCTTGGCATGATTTTAATTTTTTTGAATTTATTGAGATACTTTATGGTCAAACATGTGGTCGATCTTAGAATATCTTCCCTGTGCAGATGAGATGGTATGTTCTGTGGTTGTTAAGTGGAGTATTCTGTAAGTGGGGGCTCCTTCCTTGCTTGATGTGTACTAGGTTCAATTGTTCAAGTGTCAAATTTAAGTTCAGAGTTTCTTTGTTAGTTTTCTCTCTCAATGATCTATCTAACACTGTTAATGGGGTGCTGAAGTCCCCTCCCCGCCCGCCATTATCATATGGCTGTCTAAGTCTTCTACTAGGTCTAGAAGCACTTTTTTGTCATCCAGGGACTCCAACGTTAAGTGGACATAAGTTTAGGCAAGTTAGGTTTTCTTATTGAATTGAACTCTTTATGATTACATAATGACCAACTTTGTCCTTTGTTACTGGTTTAATGTCTGCTTTGACTGATACAAGAATAGCAACCACTTCTCTTTTTTCATTTTCCATTTGCATGATTGATAGATCTCCATCTCTTTACTTTGAGCCTATGGGTATTGTTGCACATGAAATAGGTCTCTTGAAGAAAACAGAAAGCTGGGTCTTTTTAAAATCCAATTTGCCATTCTGTTTTCTAAGTGGGGCATTTAGACTATTTTCATTCAAGGGTAATATAGATATATAAGGTTTTGATTTTTTGTGGGGCTATTAGCTGGTTGCTTTGTAGTCTTGTTTAGTTGCTTTGTACAGTCTGTGGGCAGTGTAATTAATGTGTGCTTTTGTGATTGCAGCTATCATTCTTTAATTTCCATGTTTAGAACTCCCTTAAACATCTTTTATAAAGCTGGTCTAGAGGTAACAAGATTGCTTGCTTTGGAAAGATTTTATTTCTCCATTGCCTACGAAGCTTAGTTTGGTGGGATATAAACTTCTTGTTTGAATTTTTATTCTTAACAAATGTTAAAAAATAGGCATCCAATCTCTTCTGGATTGTAAGGTTTCTGCTGAGAAATTAACTGTTAGCCTCCTGTAGTTCTCTTTTCAGGTAGTATAACCATTTCTCTAACTCCCTTAAAGTTTTCTTCTTTCATATGGACCTTGGAAAGTCTGATGAATATGTGCCTTTGGAGATGATCATCTTATATAGTATCTCTCAGGAATTCTTTAATCAGCTGTATATGCTTGTTGATATCTCCTGTGAGATTGGGAAAATTTTCATTGATTATATTCTCACATGTTTTCCAAGTTGTTTACTCTCTCTTCTTTCTCAGGAATTCCAATGAGTTCCAGGTTTGGTCACTATACGTAATCCTATATTTCTCAGAGGCTTTGTTCATTTTTTAAAATTCGTTTTTCTTTACTGTTTTCTTGGATCAGTCTTAGAGCTCTGAATTTTGTTTCCTCAGCTTGCCTAGTCTGTTGTTAAAGCTTCTATTGTAATTTGATAATTTTGTAGTAAATTTTTCAGTTCCAGAAGTTCAGATTGTTTCTTTCTTAACATATTTATGTCATCTTTCAAATCTTGGACGATTTCTTTCTGGTCTCTTTGGCTTGGATTTCAATTTTCTCTTGCATCTTGTTGAGCTTTCCTATAATTCAGATTCTGAATTACGTCTGTTCTTTCAATCTGGTTAAGGTGCATTGCTAGGAATCCTTTGGATATAGTGAAACATCCTGACTTTTTGGATTGCCAGAGTTCTTCCATGCACTCATTCTTTCTAATCCAAGGGAAATTACATTTATTTTTCTTTTTGAACTTGCCAACATTTGGATGGGATTTTTTTGTTTTTATTTCCCTGGAAAGTTTCTGGTGTATGTTGTGTATAGTTGATTGGCTTTATTTCTGGGTGCTTTCAAAGGGCACCTTTCAAAGGAATCTGTTCAGATCCTTGGATGTAGATAGATTCTTGTAGTGAGTTTTCACAGGCATAGTGTGTTGAGGCAATGTATTTTTCCTTGGTGGTTTAAACTAGGCTGTAGTACAGTAGGTGGCACTTAACAGTAAGACCCTCCAGCCATCTCTTACTCAGTTGTGCACCCCTTTTCTATTTCAGTTTGTATGGAGAAGTGCTCTGGGGAAGATAGTCAGGGGACAGGAGATGATACTTTCCTTGTTCATTCCTGGGCCTTGATGATGTCCTCTTCAACTACTGGCACCATACCTTCTTTTTATTTGCCCCAAGAGGGACTTTGGCAGCCTGTGCTCCTCCACTTCTGGGTGGCCCAAGCCATGAGTTAGGCCAGCAGGGGACCTGCAGCTTCATGGGATTACCAGAGTCAGAGCAAGTTGTGGAGTATGTCTGTGGTGGTCTGGTGATGCAGTAGGTCAAGGGTGGAGGATCCTTGGGCAGGGCAGTAGCACCACAGGTGTGTAATCAGTGTGGTGTCCATGGTCTTGAGTTTTCAGCTTGGCAGATGGCTGTGGGCTCACATTCCTCCAACCAAATGAGTCTTACTCCAGCGTCTTCCTCAGGAGCAGTCCCAATGAGCCAGGCTTTTCCCAAGCATTCTGCAACCAGATCACTCAGCCATTCCAGATGTTTCAAGCTATGGGGCTTCTTTGGGAGGAAGCTTCAGCTGGCTATCTATGCATCCCCTTCCCATACTGATCTTGTGAAGGGAGGGACACCCAGCTCCCATGCCAGCACGCAAACCTTCAGCACACTTTTTTTTGTTTTGTTTTCTGAAAGTGGGGGCTCCTTCCTTGCTTGAGCTCAGGCCACATATCTCAGCTTAACATGCGTGGGTGATGTGCTTGAATCCTGGGGAGTTGGGACCAGGCACAGATTTGTCTTCTGGCCATTTGAGGTCAAGCACAGGCTGTGCTGTGGGGGCTGAAGTGCTCCCAGGTCACCAGCAAAACAGTCAGGTGGGGCACTGGAGGCATGCCATTGGCACTCTTCTGCAGGAGCGGCCAGACGTGGTTTTGGAAGGGGCTGGCAGGCAAGTGGGTATGTGGATCAGATGTGCCCTGGTCTTGCAGCAATGGTAACTCTGCTCTCCTTGGGCCCAACTGATCACAGGAGATGCAGCCACTCAGGGCAAGCTGGAGAGCCCTGGGGAATAGATACCTATGGTTGAATTTTGTTGCAGCTGCACTGTGCAGAGAAATCTTCTGGGATCCATGTAAGTTTGAGTCGTTCCTCTGCTTGATCTCTGGAAGTCTCCCCCTGCCAGTTCAAAGGTCTAGTGGGGTTGTGGAAGCTCCTGTAGCTAAGTTCCCAGAAGTCTGCAGTGGGAGAGCGATGCCCCAAGTTTCCTTCACTCACCCCTTCCTTAGGTTCAGTTAGGGACCAAGGCCAGTCCTGGCACCTGAGGACTATGAGCAGGATCCCCACCTTCTTTCTTCTTCAACTATAGCGTCTTCATTGCCTATCGACTTTCAGTGTTTTCTCTCAAAAGATCTGTTCCAAGTGTAATGGTTTACCCAGTATTTTGGTTCCTCGTGCTGAAAGGGGTGTTTCACAGTTGCAACTAATCAGCCATCTTCCCTGGCTCCTCCCAATTTCCCATTTCCCTCCTCTTACTTTTTTCAACACTGCTTATCTTTAAGTGCAAAGACAATCCAGGGGGAGCAGTTTCTATTAATCACACAGCCTGTTTCAATATTCCCTCTAGTCCCTCAAGCTATGTGTTTAAATTCTCCTTTACTCACTTCCTGTGATACTGTGCTCCTTTCTCAGTAAGAAACAAAAAAAATTTTAGGAAGCGTTTATTTTATTCTTTAATCTGATCCCACTTGAGCTATTTCTGTCCACAATTCTTGATGTTTCAGACACAGACATGACATTTGAACTGAGTTTCTAGAAATAGTCATACTCCTTCCCTCTTATGTTTTGTTCTTTGGGATATTTTAATCTTCAATCCTGTTCTACTGTTGGGAAATGGATGGGATAGGAAGTAAGAGAAGGAAAACCTAAAGCTTTTATTTTACCTCGAGTTCTTCAAGTTGTTGAAATTTGACTTTAATTAAACAAATTTCATAAACACCAACAGGTACATTACTTAAAAATTAAATCACAATATCAGGAGCACATGAATTGATATTTGAAACTAAAGTAAACTAATTCAAATACCTAAGGACTATTATATGGTATAGGACTATAATCTTCTGTTATATCTTTAATACACTCTCATTGACTTCCTTTCTGTTCCATGAAATCATTAAATACTTTTGGTCTTACAGCCTTTGCATTTTTTTTCTCTGACTTTGGACATTCTTCTTTCTGATATATGTTTGGCTTGTTCCATCCCTTCCTAAAAATATCTGTTCAAATATTACATTTTCAGAAAGACCTTCCCCAGACATTCCTATATTTCTTCAAAGGTCTTATCACAAACTTATCTGTTATATATTTATTTGTTTATATTATTTCTATTCTATAATTTATAACTTTAAGATGAAATACATTCTGGTTATTTTGTTCATTGCTCTACCCAAAGTGTCAAGAACAGTGTTTGCCTCATAGTAGGCACTTAATAAATATTTGCTGTTGCATAGATTATTTTGCACACTGTTATTAATTAAGTACACAAAAATAAGAATTTTTTAAATTAATTAAGTACACAAAAATAAGAATAAGTACATAAAAATAACTACTTTAGCTAAAGTAGTTAAATTTTTAATCTTAAACATTCAGCATTATATACATAGTACTTGATATTTTTGAAGGGAAGATGTAATTCTTTATGAAAAGCCAGAAAATTTCTTTAAAATATACATAACAGAAAAAAAAAGACCAAGCTAGTCCTACTGCTAAATCATTTTATTGTGTTCACTTGTTATCATTTGATATTTTTGTCCTGATTTCTCAGCTGTGTTTCATGTATCTCCTCTCTGCAAGAAACTTCAAGGTCTGCTCCCATTTATTTATTCAGATTTTATGCACAAGGATAAGTTATAACTCCTTGAGACAGAGCATCTCATTTTCCAAGACACCCCACAGATATCAGCAATTACACTGCTATACAAAAGGTTTCCATCCAAGCAAATAATTTGTTTTTTAGTGAAAACTAAAGGATATCTCACCTCTGAGAAGGTTTTTTTTGTTTCTTTCATAACTGTGAATGACCTGTGAGACCCATCTGGTCTTTCCACAAATGAAAGAAAGAAAATCCTTCAAGGGTAAAATATTACTTATTCTATGAGAAAACAATTTTAAATTAAAAAAGAAAGTGTTTGGCTTATATCACGGCATGTGTCTGATTTGAATCATTTTCAGCTAGTACTGTTATACCTACTTAAAATATTTTTGTTTTATAGTAGATGTGAAGGAAGAAAATATTTTATTTCAGAATAAGCATTTGCAATAATTATGAAAACCATTCTCACATTATCAAAATAAATGAAATATTGTTGTACATGAATATTTTATGGTTTACTGACAAAGTGAAATAATATCTTTGCACCTATACATGTTTTTTTCTATTAAAAGGTTTAAAAAATACTGAAATATATCTCTACCTCATCTATAGGATGAAAATAGTAACAGCCATTTTGCAGCATATGTAATTGAGTTAGACAAAATAAAGTTCATTCATGATTGTAGAAAGCACAAATACTTGTTTTAATTACCTCAGTTTTAAAGCTTCCTGTCACTAGATTATTTTTGCATATAGGTAGTAATCAATTTCTCAAGTATTGCTTCAATTAACTTTATGGGGCTTCAACATTCTGGTTTCACAGTAAAGATTAAAAGCCATTCACTAAATTTTATATCCAAACATTCATTTTTTATATTTTCATGGTTACTTCCTTGGATAAAATATTCATCATAATTTATCTGGATTTTTTAAGGGTCTCCCAACTTGTCATACAAGCAATAATTTCATTCAATTCAAATGCTACTCAGTACCACTTTGAGATAAATCTGTACTATAGCAGGAAATGGGATAATGGATTTAAAGAGTGTGCTAAGGCTTTAAAATTTTTGCTAATGGCATGACCTCAGATAAATCAATTAACCTCTCTGATTCAGTATCCTCATCTGTAAATTGGAGAAATATTAGCTCTGGGATGTCTGTGAAAAAAAAATGAGGTAAAATTTGACAAGCATCTACGATGGAACACAGCAAAGGCTGAATGAATTCTAATTGAAAACATGTCTAAATGCAGAAGTTCCCACCATGGCTGATTATCTAGAAAACTATCCCCTTAACGGTATCTTTGCCCACTCATTCAGGGCAAGGTCTTCATGTGTTTTCAAGGCACTCTTATTCTGATTTCAAAACAATAGGCCTGAAGAATAAGCCAGTAGTATTTTCCTCATAGATAATACAGATCAATATAATTCTACAACAACAATTTTAAAATGTCAAACGACTTTGCAATAGGCTTATGAAAAATCAGATGTAAGGTTAAGCAATTAAAATAATACTGGTTTTCTTCATGGAAGAAAGACAAAGCTTAAATTTTTAAGATAAATATTTTAGCACATTTTCTTAAAGCTATAGTAATAGAGTGATTATAAAAACCACCCTAATACTTTATTCTCTTTTTATCTCCAAGCCATTTCCAATCTAACTTTCAAACCCCTTCATCAATAGACAGAGTATATTTCCCTTCTTGAATATGGGCTAACGTGTGACTTGTTTTGGCCAATAGAATATTTTCTTGTGGAATTCCAAGCATAAACTTCAAAGGTCTTGAATACTTTCAGTGGGAATCCAGCAACTGCCAAATGCACAAGTCCAAGAGAGCCTGTTGGAGGATGGGAGATGATATGGAGAAAAGTCTAATTGTCACAAATAAGGGAATCATAGACTGACCTAAAGGCCATCAAACACATGATAGAGCACTTCCAAAATTAGCAGAACTGCTTAACCAATACAATGTCATCTACAAACTCACAAATGAGTTCAGTCAAGACAGGAAGAGCAAAACAGGTAACAGAGAGACTCATGAGCATTAATAAAGAAATATTTTCATGCTGTTGCATTTTTGGTTGGCAACTATTAAGCTCTATATTTATTGCATTAATATTATTAAGCTAGATAATAAATTCTCCAATATTCAAAATACTGTATTAGGAAAAAAGTGTGCACTTGTGTGTGGTGGCTCATGCCTGTGAACTCAGCACTTTGGGAGGCCGAGGTAGGTGAATTGCTTGAGCCCAGGCATTTGAGACCACCCTGGCCAACCTGGAGAAACCCCATCTCTAAAAAAAATACAAAAATTAGCCAGGCATAGTGGTGAGCACCTGTAGTCTCAGCTACTTGGGAGGCTGAGGTGGGGGGGTTTGCTTGAGCCCAGGAGGCAGAAGTTACAGTGAGCTGAGATCTCACCACTACACTCCAGCCTGGGAGACAGAGTGTGACACTGTCTCAAAAAAGGAAAAAAAAGTGTGAAAATTAATTTAAATATATATTTTCTTACATAAATGTCTTAGTTCTATGTATATTTGGCATATTTTTAATAATTTATTCTTTATTCTACTGTGCTTCATTATATGTTATACTCCTTCAGCAGTAAGGTCACACTGCACATGAAAATGTCCTCACATTAATAGTAATTTATTCAAAAGGTATGTATTAAGTAGTTTCTCAGGGCAAGTGCAGCCCACTCTATATGAAGATTGGAGGGATTAAATAATAACTGTCTTAAGATAGTCTACCAATGAAGCTATTTAGTCAAGACACCCAGGAAGTTTATACTGTTCACGGTTTTGGCAAATAAAAACAATCATTTGTGGTTTTATTTTGTTTTCAGATTCCAATCAGAAAGTTACATTTCCTACCAAAAAAAAAGACTAACAATGTTCCTCTATTCCACGCTATCCTGTGGAATTACACACCAGTATATAACAAGGCACCCTATTACAGAATATGATCCACAGATCAAAAAACCTGAACACTGCTGAAGCTTCAATGACTCTTTCTAGGACATAAAACAAAGCAAGAAATTAGCAATTTAAAGGATACAATGTAAGGAAGAGAATTGTCTTTAACAATGGTGATTATGAACACTCAATACTTAAACCTGAAGTAAGTATATTTGAAAAGACTAAAAATGTTCTCTGATATAGTAAATCAAGGATCCTGAGATAGAAAAATGTGACTCTACTGCAAAACACATAAAAACAGTTTGAAAAAACTTGTAGACTTCCAGATACAGACATTATGTATTGTATGAGAATATTACTGTTCCAGCCATACTAACTTAAGGAATTCCAAAGAACATATTGGAAAACAACACTATTGAATAGAGTAGGGCAAAGTTGTAATAGTATCCCACTGCACTGCATCTGTAATCTGTTGTAGTTATGCTTAAATTAACAGGGTAGCTATATTATATTATATATCACATAAGACTGATTTCAGAGCATAGCATGATTGTTTTATTGCTTTTCATAACTTGTATTGTTTTCATAAATTTCAAGTCACTTAAAGTCTTCAGTTAAAGTGTAGGTATCTATACCAGTTTAACTCTATCTGACAACAATTATTAACAGCCCATCTTAGGAAACATATAAAGTCTGTTAGTTTGTGTGTTGGTTTCTGTATATGTCGTACCATATGACATAAACTGTCTGCTAGCCAATTGCTTAAGAAAAAATATTAATAAGATACATTCCCCTGCACTGAGAAACTCATAATCTAGCTATGAGGTTTCTACATTACTGCTTTCTCAGTTGAAAGTGGTGATACAATTTGGAAAACAAATAAAATAGTATTAAAAATAACTGGCATTTTATAACTTCCTATGCTCCAGGTTTAGGGTGAAGTATTTTTACCTGTGTAATCTCATTTAATTATCACAACATACCTATGAGCTTGGAATTATTGTAAAGCTTATTTTTAATAACTGTAAAAAAGAAAACAAGATCAAAAGAAGGGAAGTGCAGCCAAGTAATTGCCCATGGAAACTCAGCGAGGAAGTAGATGAAATGGGATTTGAAGCCACCAGTCTCGTACCACTGTGTGTGCTCTTAATGATTATATTATACAAAATCCTTTATATTATACTATATACAGTGCTTTGTACTATACAAGCACCTTTAAAACACTTAAGAGAGCCGTTATTTGCTGTAACTTGTTTAATGTCCTTCCCTACTAGTACCTCTATATCTCAGTCTATATTACTAGAGTTCTGGTTTTGAAGCCCAAAGGAGTTGTTTTGAATAATAAATTTACCAAATCCTACCTGTATCACATTGCATAATTTACTTCTCTTCTATAACTCTAGAAGAGAGTTTTGTCAGCTCTAAATTATGGGTTATAAAGCATCCTCTTGGCTAACTTGAATTCAGTACAATACTGATGGACAGCTCCCTGCACAGAACTGCCCTCCCACTTTGGCAAAGTTAGGAATCTTTTCCTCCCAGTCTCAAGTCTGTCTCCAAAGCAAGAAGTCTCTTAGCATAAGCACAGAAGTGCAGTTTGGAAGCTGAGGGAGCTCATAACCAATAACCTGCTTCAGTTTCTTATCCTTTTGGGCAGTCCGTTCTGAGGCGCATTCTACAGAGTTCCTCAAAACGTTTCTAGTGGAATTGAACATCAATTCTCCACTATAGTAAATAGGTCAATATCTACCCCATTGGCTTTCCTTTCTTCCCCATTGTGCTTTCCCTTGTCTCTTATCGTTTATTCCATTTATAGCTTTTGAAATAAACCACTTGCACACAAGATTGTGTCTCAGGCACTGTTTCAGGTTTAGGAATGAAGGAGGTAAAGAATAAAGAAGATAGTCCACATAAAGTGCTTAGTTAGTCAAGTCATCTATAGTACATTCTCAATAATAATCAAATAATTCCACTATTGTATACTTTGGAATTTTAGGACTTTTGGAGGCATCTTAGTTTCAATTTGCCAGCATGAATTTTCTCAAAGAAAGAAAGCTGTGAACCAAAGAGATCATGACTGCAAAATGAATAAAAGAAGTGAAGCACTCTAATACACAAGGAAATTCACTTCTGTTCTCATGAATGCTGATAACAATAATTGCCAAAACACTACAAGAAGTCTGAAAGTCTAAAGTTATTTTCATCATATTGTGTTATAGTAAACTCGACTTCCAATGAAGTTGTTTGAGAAGGAAATAAAGATTACACTATGAGAGATTTTCCTCTATTGATTTGGACAACTAATGTCAGGATAAATTGCCCATAATATCTTAATACAGCTAAGCATAAGAAATAGTTTTTTAGCATGTAATCTAAATAAGACAAATGTTTGCCTATATTGATTCTGAAGCAACATCCAAAAAAAAGCTAATTTTCCAATCACATTTTTGTATACTAAATTTGAAATGAATCATCAAACTATAAGAACAGTTCTATATCCGTCCTTAAGTTTTCTTTTCGTTAGCTTCTTCCCTGTTCTTTTTTTTTCAGCAGTTGTTACGTTTAAAAAATATTTTTTAACTTCAGAGAGTTTACAACCTAGCTGAAGAGATTAGCGACATTAACAACAATATAAGACAAATGGCTCTATAATACATACTTTGTGCTTAAGAAATTAAGAAGAGATTAAAGTGGAATAATGTAACTAAGGATAACTAGAAGGTGGAATTTTCAATTAAACTAAAGAGCTTCTGCGCAGCTAAAGAAACTATCATAAGAGTGAACAGGCAGCTTACAGAAGGGGAGAAAAATTTCACAATCTACCCATCTGACAAAGGCCTAATATCCAGAATATACAAGGAACTTAAACAAATTTACAAGAAAAAAAACAACTCCATCAAAAAGTGGGCAAAGGATATAAACAGACACTTCTCAAAAGAAGACATTTATGTGGCCAACAAACATATGAAAAAACCTCAAAATCACTGCAAATCAAAACCACAATAAAATACCATCTCACACAAGTCAGAATGGTGATTATTAAAAAGTCAAAAAAACAATAGATGTTGGTGAGGCTGTGGTCAAATAGGAACACTGTTACACAATTGGTGGGAATGTATATCAGTTCAAACATTGTGGAAGACACTGTGGTGATTCCTCAGGGATCTAGAACCAGAAATATCATTTGACCCAGCAATTTCATTATTGGGTGTATACCCAAAGGAATATAAATCATTCTACTATATAGACACATGCACATGTATGTTTATTGCAGCACTATTCACAATAGCAAAGACACAGAACCAACCCAAATGTCCATCAAGATAGGCTGGATAAAAAAAAAAAGGTGGTACATCTACACCATGGAATACTATGTGGACATATAAAGGAATGAGTTCCTGTCCTTTGCAGGGCTATCAATGAAGCTGGAAGATATCATCCTCAGCAAACTAAGACAGGAACATAAAACTAAACACCACATGTTCTCACTCATAAGTAGAAGTTTAACACTGAGAACACATGAACACAGAGAGGGGAACTACACACACTGGGGCCAGTCGGCAAGTGGGGGGTGAGGGGAGGGAGACCATTAGGACAAATAGCTAATGCATGCAGGGCTTAAAACCTAGATGATGGGTCAATAGGTGCAGCAAACCACCATAGTACACATATACCTGTGTAACAAACCTACACGTTCTGCACTTGTATCCTGGAACTTAAAGTAAAATTTTTAAAAAAGGTGGAATTTTCTAATTATTAAAGCTTTGTGATGCAGACAAATGTGTAGGAAATTTCCAAATACAGCTGAAAGCATATCAACAAATAAAGAAAAAAAATTCAGTTTATCGAGAGCCAACAGTTAGTCCTGTGCAGTAGTGGCTCTAGGATTATATTGGTAGAATAGAACCAGGTCGCTAAAGACATAAAAATTAGGCCGGGCGCCGTGGCTCACGCCTGTAATCCCAGCACTTTGGGAGGCCGAGGCGGGCGGATCATGAGGTCAGGAGATCGAGACCATCCTGGCTAACATGGTGAAACCCCGTCTCTACTAAAAAATACAAAAACTTAGCCGGGCGTGGGGGCGGGCGCCTATAGTCCCAGCTACTCCGGAGGCTGAGGCAGGAGAATGGCGTGAACCCGGGAGGTGGAGCTTGCAGTGAGCCGAGATTGCGCCACTGCACTCCAGCCTGGGCGACAAGGCGAGGCATAAAAATTATTTCAAAGAATTAGAGGCCACTTATGAAAACATTTAAACTTTCCACTATCTCAGTAGAAAATGTTTACATACATACTATGTATAAATTTATTAATTTATGTAAAATATTTTGCTAATTAATGTACGTTTTTATTAACCACTGTATTATATGCGTTATAAAATATACACACATTTTAAAATTTAAAGGGATTACATATAGATAAGCTAGGTAGTATTGTAAAATATGAAGCTATGCATGATGTTATCATTAGCTAAAATCCCAAAACAAGGAATACACTTAGAACAATCTTTATGATTGCAAACTATATTAAATAGGTCTTGATAATTGCAATTGTTGGCTGATTTTTTGTGATTGTCTTTTTAGAATGTATATTGAAAAAATATAGGCAGAGCTTATAGACAGCGCTAGGTAAAATATTAGTTTTGTTAATTTCTTGTTCAGCTCCAGAGATTAAACCTGCTTCTTCTCTAGAGTGATTATTTTAAATGCCAGCAACAATTTTTTTTTTTTTTTTTTTTTTTTGAGACGGAGTTTCACTCTTGTCGCCCAGGCTGTAGTGCAATGGCATGATCCCGGCTCACTGCAACCTCTGCCTCCCAGGTTCAAGTGATTCTTCTGCCTCAGCCTCCGGAGTACCCAGGATTATAGGCACGTGCCACCACGCCCAGCTGATTTTTATATTTTTTAGTAGAGACGGGGTTTCGCCATGTTGGCCGGGCTGGTCTTGAACTCCTGAACGCAGGTGATCCACCCGCCTCAGCCTCCCAAAGTGCTGGGATTACAGGCATGAGCCACCGCGCCCGGCCACCATCAATATTTTATGATGATAATTACATTAAAACTAGATAACATAAACTTAAGAACCACTGACTTGGGCACAGGTAAAACACGATACACAGAAACACAAATCAAACAAAAGGGTGAAAGTATCACTGTCAATCCCTCTCTATTGTGGAAACCTCATCCATCCCTCAGGATACCTTTTTTTACGTTGTATGACACACGTACAAGGTAGAGAAGAACTAAACAGAGGGATAGGGGAGCCATAAATCCAAGATGTGTTAACATACTGCAGAGGTAGAAAGAGAAGGAGAAAAAAAGAGTATGTAAAAGAGAAAAGAGAAAGACAAACTGTAGATTCAGAACCATATCTAAGACCAGGCTAGGAATGAGGTATCAGACATATTTATTTGTTAGGTTGTTAAGTTAAAGATGAAAAAAAATTATTTTTCACTTTCTCCCATCAATAGTTGAGGTCTATGACTTCCTTTACCAATAGAATCTGGCAGAAGTGATACTCTGGGATTGCTAATATTCAGCCATAAAAAGCATTGCACATTCTGCCTAGTTTTCATAGCACATTCACTGTTGGAACCCAGCTGCAATGTTGGGAATCTAAATTCATGCAGCTCCATGGAGGGTCTCACATGGAGGGAAACTAAAGCTTGCAACTAATAGCCACAGCTGAGCTCCAAACTGACAGCCACCATCAACTTGACAGTCACATTAGTACACATACTTGGAAATAGATCCTCAAGCCACGGGAGTTTATTTGAGTCACTCTATGCTACATCATACAGAAATAAGCTTTCTCCATTGTGCCTTGTCAGAATTGCAGACTTGTAAAGAAAAATAAGTTAATATTATTGAAATGACCTATTAATTTTGGGATTGTTTGTAACACAGCAATAGATACGCAGTTATGTGCCTTGGGATCAACTGGACTGGAAGTCCCAACTTTCTCAGAATTGAGAGTTGATATTCTCATTGGGAGAATTCTAAGCACATTCTAGGCATTGACTAAAATTAAAGGAAACAGCTGAGCAAAAAGCATATAGGAGTCAGCAATTAGTGAAAATCGATGAAAAGAAAATTGCTTGCCACAGAAAATGAATGAGGTCCATGAAAGTGACCCTTTCATAGGAAAGGAAGTAAAAACTAGAAAAGAAAGTAAAAATTAGAAAAATAGAAAAAAAAACCAGAAGGCAGAGACCCTACATAGCCTATTATTAAATTCTTAGCATCTAATACACTGACACATAGAAAATATTCAATGGATACTTATTAAATGAATGAATGAAATGTTATGCTCAAAAAGCATACTTTACTGGCCAATAGATTTTATAAAATAAAGAATCTGTTTTAAATTGTTTCAAGTCTCAACATGAGTTTTTCACATTGAACAGCTGTCTCAGATATAGGATAAGCATCCAGGTTGTTTTGTTTTCTTTGCACAGCCACTATGGCATGGCTGTTTTGATGGCATGACTATTTAGACACATTAGAATGTTAACACAAAACACAATGGAAGTGTTTTTCTTTACAGGTAATGTAGGTACTTCCCTGACTCTTAGATCTTTCCTGCGCTTTCCACATTCCTTATTTTTAATGCACTTTATGCATCTTAAGGCTATCAATCAAACTGTGAATCTAACATCCCCTGTACATTTTTTCAATCAGATGTTGGAGATAGAATCTAACAATAGATCATGAATTATAATATTTTAAGGCGTTAAGTGGTTGAGTAAATCTATTATTTTCTTCTAAATATTGATCTTTATTAATATATGCTTAGAATTCTACAACTGATGTTTTAATACCAGGCATCATATTTTTCATTTTGACCTAGGATTTTTTTTAAAACATTTTAAAGACCTTAAAAAGTTAAAAACTAGTTTTTTTTCCATCAAATATTATTGTTTTCACAGCTATAAAAGTACTCCAAAAATTGAAATACTACTAGGAAATTTGAAAACCAGATAGTTTGCAAATCTTTAACACTGCAAGGTTTCAAATATTTTCCAAATGTATATATGCACTAATGGTGATGATGATTACTCCAGTAAAACATTTTCCATTTAAAATTTTGTTATTTTAAAAATTCTTTGTAAAATTGGAAAGCACAGAGTGCTTTCACATAGGTATGTAATATCTTAAGAGAAGGCATTCTAACGATACTGCTCAAAACTACTCTAGTCTTATTTTGTGCCTGTTCTCCATCCCATATCCTGCTAAAGCCAGTTCATTCAAAGTTATCTGCACATGACTGGGATTTTCAAAGTGTAGTTCATAACACTTTTATGTCATGTGAAGTGAATTTAGCAGGAACTGCTACTTCTATGACCAATAATAATATATTTTACATATAGAATAATAGAATGAATTATAGTAACTGTAAGCACTGTAAGTATATAAATATAGCTTTATGACACTTTTGCCTCACATGTGTGTCTGTGTGCAAATGTGTGTGTGTCCATCCCATGTGTACTTGAATTTATTTGTGCAAGTAACAGCCAAGAAAATGTGAAAGCTATTGCATCAAGAGTGATAACACGTGGAATTGGATGCTTCAACCAAAGTTACAATTACACTACAGGGCCAAAAACAAGAGTTTGCTGAAAGGAAATGAACTGATGTCCTTTCAAATTTCTTGTTCTTAGAAAGGAAAGCTACTGCCACTTATTCTTAAGCATGATTTAGTCTAACCATACTATTTATGTACCTCAGCTAAAGAGACTATTTGCTGTGCTGCTTTGAAATTAAGTGAGTCACAACTTCAATTCAGTAATCCTTAGACTAGTTATAAAGCTCTTGGAAGTGTAATCATGCTTCAAATATTTTCACCACTATCAAGATTTAAGTCAACCACTAGGAAAATTCCCAGAGCAAAAGAGGAAAGCAGAAGCAAGCAAGTCATTGCAGCTCCTAGTCAAGGGTTCTAGTATGCTTTAGCTGGTTCAGTGTGTCTGTTACTGCAAAAACCACAGAATTAAAGAGCAAAGGATCTGCATAATTGAAAACAGCAATTAGACTATGAGAAATGGGCAAATCAAAGTCA
Source organism: Homo sapiens (assembly GCF_000001405.40). Classification (NCBI taxonomy): domain Eukaryota; kingdom Metazoa; phylum Chordata; class Mammalia; order Primates; family Hominidae; genus Homo; species Homo sapiens. The sequence continues at coordinate 82,274,844 of NC_000003.12, read as the reverse complement.
CTAATGAGAAATAGCACATGCAATAAATGGAAAGGAGTTTATAAGAGAATACAAGTTAAGAAATTTGGATAAACTCACAATTTAAAGTATTAAATACAGAAATTTAAATATATCTTGAAATAAATGGTAAAGGTAAGATTTGAGGACCGTATAATAATTACATGAGTGAGTCTGCAATCATTCATTTACTTTTTGCTCAATAAATACTAAAGACTAGGCTGGGCGCAGTGGCTCACACCTGTAATCCCAGCACTTTGGGAGGCTGAGACGGGCGGATCACGAGGTCAGGAGATCAAGACCATCCTGACTAACACGGTGAAACCCTGTCTCTGCCAAAAATACAAAAAAAAAAAAAAATTAGCCAGGTGTGGTGGCGGGTGCCTGTAGTCCCAGCTACTCAGGAGGCTGAGGCAGGAGAATGGCGTGAACCTGGGAGGCGGAGCTTGCAGTGAGCCAAGATCGTGCCACTGAACTCTAGCCTGGGTGACAGGGCAAGACTGTCACAAAAAAAAAAAAAAAAAAAGACTAAATATGAGAGTCTCTGGGAAGAATAAAAATATTGAGATTCTGACTTAAGAAAGTTTTGCTAGAAAAACTACAGAAATATGAGCCAAGTGTATGAAATGCTGCTAAAATTCATCTACCTGCAGCCTAGTCTGAGTTGATGTAGGTTTCAAAGGAATGTCAATCAGTTAAACATCCAGCATGCATTTGAAAGGCATTTTAGAGATGCCTCCTCTCTGGGCAGGGCATCTCTGAAAGAGAGGAAGCAGCCCCCATCAGGGGCTTATAGATAAAATTCCCATCTCCCTGGGATAGAGCACCTGGGGGAAAGGGGCGGCTGTGGGTGCAGCTTCAGCAGACTTAAATGTTCCCACCTGCCAGCTCTGAAGAGAGGAGAAGCTCTCCCAACACAGCACTGAAGCTCTGCTAAGGGACAGACAGCCTCCTCAAGTGGGTCCCTGACCCCTGTGCCTCCTGACTGGGAAACATCTCCCAGCAGGAATCAACAGACACCTCATACAGGAGAGCTGCGGCTGGCATCTGGTGTGTGCCCCTCTGGGACGAAGCTTCCAGACCAAAGAACAGGCAGCAATTTTTGCTGTTCTGCAACCTCTGCTGGTGATACCCAGGCAAACAGGGCCTGGAGTGGACCTCCAGCAAACTCCAGCAGACCTACAGCAGGGGGGCCTGACTGTTAGAAAGAAAACTAACAAAGAGAAAGGAATAGCATCAACATCAACAAAAAGGATGTCCACACATAAACCACATCCAAAGGTCACCAAGATCAAACACCAAAGGTAGATAAATCCACGAAGATGAGGAAAAAACAGAGCAAAAAGGGTGAAAAGTCCAAAAATCAGGACACTTCTTTTTCTCCAGAGGATCATAACTGCTCGCCAGCAAGGGAACAAAACTGGGTGGAGAATGAGTTTGACGAATTGACAGAAGTAGGCTTCAGAAGGTGGGTAATAACAAACTCCTCCGAGCTAAAGCAGCATGTCCTAACCCAATGGAAGGAAGCTAAGAACCTTGAAAAAAGGTTAGAGGAATTGCTAATTAGAATAACCAGATTAGAGAAGAACATATGTGACCTGATGGAGCTGAAGAACACAACAGGAGAACTTCGTGTAGTATACACAAGTATCAAAGCCAAATTGATAAAACAGAAGAAAGGATATTAGAGATTGAAGATTAACTTAATGAAGTGTGAGGACAAGATTAGAGAAAAAAGAATGAAAAGGAACTAATAAACCCTCCAAGAAATATGGAACTATGTGAAAAGACCAAACCTACGTTTGATTGGTGTACCTGAAAGTGACGGGGAGAATGGAACCAAGATGAAAAACACTTTTCAAGTTATCCAGGAGAACTTCCCCAACCTAGCAAGAACAGGCCAACATTCAAATTCAGGAAATACAGAGAACGCCAGAAAGATGCTCCTTGAGAAGAACAACCCCAAGACACATAATCGTCACATTTACCAAGGTTCAAATGAAGGAAAAAATGTTAAGGGCAGCCCAAGACAAAGGTCGGGTTACCTATAAAGGGAAGTCCATCAGAATAACAGCAGATCTCTCTGGAGAAACCCTTCAAGCAAGAAGACAGTGGGGTCCAATATTCAACATTCTTAAAGAAAAGAATCTTCAACCTAGAATTTCCTATCCAGCCAAACTAAGCTTCATAAGTGAAGGAGAAATAAAATCCCTTACAGACAAGCAAATGCTGAGAGATTTTGTCACCACCAGGCCTGACTTACAAGAGCTCCTGAAGAAAGTACTAAATATGAAAAGAAAAAAAACCTTAACAGCCACTGCAAAAACATACCAAATTGTGAAGACCATCAACACCATGACGAAATTGCATCAACTAATGGGCAAAATAACCAGCTAGCATCATAGGGACAGGATCAAATTCACATATAACAATATTAACCTTAAATGTAAACAGACTAAATGCCGCAGTTAAAAAACACAGACTGGCAAATTGGATAGAGTCCAGAACCATTGGTGTGCTGTATTCAGGAGACCCCATCTCACATGCAAAGACACATCTAGGGTCAAAATAAAGGGATGGAGGAATATTTACCAAGGAAATGGAAAGCAATAAAAGAGCAGGGGTTGCAATCCTAGTCTCTGATAAAACAGACTCTAAACCAACAAAGATCAAAAGAGACAAAGAAGGGCATTATATAATGGTAAAGGGATCAACGCAATAAGAAGAGGTAACTATCCTAAATATTCATGCACCTAATGTAGGAGCACCCAGATTTGTAAAACAAGTTCTTAGAGACCTAAAAAGAGATGTAGACTCCCACACAATAATAGTGGGAGACTTTAACACCTCAGTGTCAATATTAGACAGATCAACAAGACAGAAAATTACAAGGATATTCAGGACTTGAACTCAGCTCTGCATCACGTGGACCTAATAGACATCTACAGAACTCTTCACCACAAATCAACAGAATATACATTCTTCTCAGCAACACATCACACTTATTCTAAAATTGACCACATACTTGGAAGCAAAACACTCCTCAGCAAATGCAAAAGAATGGAAATCATAACAAACAGTCTCTCAGTCCACAGTGAAATCAAATTAGAACTCAGGATTAAGACACTCACTAAAAACCATGCAACTACATGGAAACAGAACAACCTGCTCCTGAATAACTACTGGATAAATAATGAAATTAAGGCAGAAATAAATAAATTCTTTGAAACCAATGAGAACAAAGACACAACCTACCAGAATCTCTGGGACACAGCTAAAGCAGTGTTGAGAGGCAAATTTATAGCACTAAATGCCCACAGGAGAAAGTGGGAAAGATCTAAAATTGACACCCTAACATCACAATTAAATGAACTAGAGAAGCAAGAGCAAACAAATTCAAAACCTAGCAGAAGACAAGAAATAACTAAGATCAGAACAGAACTGAAGGAGATAGAGACATGAAAAACCCTTAAAAAAATTAATGAATCCAGGAGCTGATTTTTTGAAAAGATTAAGAAAATAGAGAGACCACTAGCCAGACTAATAAAGAAGAAAAGGGAGAAGAATCAAATAGACACAATAAAAAATAATGAAGGGGCGATCATCACTCTGATCCCATAGAAATACAAACTACCACAAGAAAATACTGTAAACACCTCTATGCAAATAAACTAGAAAATCTAGAAGAAATGGATAAATACCTGGAGACATACACCCTCTCAAGACTCAATCAGGAAGAAGTCAAATCCACAAATAGACCAATAACAAGTTCTGAAATTGAGGCAGCAATTAATAGCCTACCAACAAAAACAAGCCCAGGACCAGATGAATGCACAGCTGAATTCTACCAGAGATACAAAGAGGAGCTGGTACCATTCCTTCTGAAATTATTCCAAACAATAGAAAAAAAGGGACTCCTCCCTAACTCATTTTACGAGGTCAGCATCATCCTGATACCAAAACCTGGCACAGACACAAAAAAAGAGAAAATTTCAGGCCAATATCCCTGATGAACATCGACGCGAAAATCCTCGATAAAATACTGGCAAACCGAATCCAGCAACACATCAAAAAGCTTATCCACCACTATCAAGTCAACTTCATACCTGGGATGCAAGGCTGATTCAACATACACAAATCAATAAACATAATCCATCACACAAACAGAACCAATGACAAAAACCACATGATTATCTCAATAGATGCAGAAAAGGCCTTCGATAAAATTCAACAACCCTTCATGCTAAAAACTCTCAATAAACTAGGTATCAATGGAATGCATCTCAAAATAATAGGAGCTATTTATGAGAAACCCACAGCCCATATCAAACTGATGGGCAAAAGCTGGAAGCATTCGCTTTGAAAACTGGCACAAGACAAGGATGCCCTCTCTCACAACTCCTATTCAACATAGTATTGGAAGTTCTGGCCAGAGTAATCAGGCAAGAGAAAGAAATAAAGGATATTCAAATAGGAAGAGAGGAAGTAAAATTGTCTCTGTTTGCAGATGACATGATTATATATTTAGAAAACCCCATCATCTCAGCCCCAAATCTCCTTAAGCTGATAAGCAACGTCAGCAAAGTCTCAGGATACAAAATCAATGTGCAAAAATCACAAGCATTCCTATATACCAATAACAGACAAACGAAGAGCCAAATCATGAGTGAACTCCCATTCACAATTGCTCCAAAGAGAATAAAATACCTAGGAATCCAACTTACAAGGGATGTGAAGGACGTCTTCAAGGAGAACTACAAACCACTGCTCAAGGAAATAAAAGAGGACACAAACAAATAGAAGAACTTTCCATGCTCATGGATAGAAAGAATCAATATTGTGAAAATGGCCATGCTGCCCAAAGTAATTTATAGATTCAATGCTATCCACATCAAGCTACCATTGACTTTCTTCACAGAATTAGAAAAAAAAAAACTACTGTAAATTTCATATGGAACCAAAAAAGAGCCCATATAGCAAGGACAATCCTAAGCAAAAAGAACAAAGCTGGAGGCATCATGCTACCTGACTTCAAACTATACTACAAGGCTACACTAACCAAAACAGCATGGTACTGGCACCAAAACAGATATATAGACCAATGGAACAGAACAGAGGTCTCAGAAATAACACCACACATCTACAACCATCTGATCTTTGAAAAACCTGACAAAAACAAGCAATGGGGAAAGGATTTCCTATTTAATAAATGGTGTTGGGAAAACTGGCTAGCCACATGCAGAAAACTGAAACTGAACCCCTTTCTTTCACCTTATGCAAAAACTAACTCAAGATGGATTAAAGACGTAAATGTAAGACCTAAAACCATAAAAACCCTAGAAGAAAACCTAGGCAATACCATTCAGGACATAGGCATGGGCAAAGACTTCATGATGAAAACACTAAAAGCAATGGCAACAAAAGCCAAAATTGACAAATGAGATCTACTTAAACGAAAGAGCTTCTGCACAGCTAAAGAAACTATCACCAGAGTGAACAGGTAACCTACAGAATGGGAGAAAACTTTTGCAATCTATCCTTCTGACAAAGGGCTAATATCCAGAATCTACAAGGAACTTAAACAAATTTACAAGAAAAAAAAAACAAACAACCCCATCAAAAAGTGAGCAAAAGATATGAACAGGCACTTCTCAAAAGAAGACATTTATGTGGCCAAAAAACATCTGAAAAAAAGTTTATCATCACTGGTCGTTAGAGAAATGCAAATCAAAACCACAAAGAGATACCATCTCATGCCAGTTAGAATGATGATCATTAAAAAGTCAGGAAACAACAGATTCTGGAGAGGATGTGGAGAAATAGGAATGCTTTTACACTGCTGGTTGGTTCCACCATTTTGGAAGACAGTGTGGTGATTCCTCAAGGATCTAGACCAGAAATACCACTTGACCCAGCATTCCCATTACAGGGTAATATACCCAAAGGATTATAAATCATTCTACGATAAAGACACATGCATGCATATATTTATTACAGCACTATTTACCATAGCAAAGACTTTCAACCAAACCAAATGCCCATCAGTGATAGACTGGATAAAGAAAATGTGGCACATATATACTATGGAATACTATGCAGCCATAAAAAAGGATGACTTCGTGTCCTTTGCAGGGACATGGATGAAGCTGGAAACCACCATTCTCAGCAAACTAACACAGGAACAGAAAACCAAAAACTGCAAGTTTTCACTCATAAGTGGGAGTTGAACAATGAGAACACATGTACATAGGGAGGGGGAACATCACTCATCGGTGCCTGTTGGGGGTTGGCAGGCTAGGGTAGGGATAGCATTAGGAGAAATACCTAATGGAAATGATGGCTTGATGGGTGCAGCAAACCACCGTGACACGTGTATACCTATGTAACAAACCTGAATGTTCTGCATATGTATCCCAGAACTTAAAGTATAATAAAAAAAGAAAGGCATTTTCATTATATTTATTGTTCTAAAAATGCATAAGTAATTTATTGTGAAATCCTGTATGCAATTTATTATAGGTAATGCAAAGATATCAAATGTTTCTTTTTCCTTTGTTCCAATATTCAATCTCTCTTCCAATGTTCAAATATCTCTTCTTTTCTGTAAAGTCTCCAAAACTTCCCCTGAAGCAAGCACATACTGTTTCCAATCTTCCTTTACTAGTTTATCTCACCTTTAGATCTATTACTTGATTTTCTGATAGAGATGGTCTGTAGTTGCCTATTTAAATCTATCAAGGCAGTGCCTCCTATTTCTCTCTCTCTCCACCAGTACCTCAGTTCTGTACCACATAGAGCTACAATTTAAGCTGATAAGAGATATTTTTTTAAATTGGAGGTTAGAGATTAAGCTAGATATACTTACACATATTTATTATATCATGTAAAAATACTAAAAACACAATATGAAAAATAACATAAAATAATATACTAATAGAAGTACAGAACATTGACAAAAATAAGGTTGGGAGAAAGCTGATTAATGCAGTGCTAGACGTGTTAATTTGAGTTGTTGGTAAGGTTCAAAATGGTTATTTTCAGTGAAGACCTTTATGTATTGGCTAGAAACTTCGAGAGAGAGGCCATGGTTGAGGTGTAATATTTGGACTTCTATGGATAGAGAAGTATCGTCGACATCGTAAGTTGTATGAGATTGCAATGGGTGAGAGTTTTGATGCTGAAGAGTCAAGTCTTAGGGCAGATATCTGAGAAACAACTCTATTAAGTGCATAAGTCAAAGAGAATGAGCCAGGTTACAGATGTCATGAAGAAAAGATAACTTTGAATAATTCTACGCCAGGTAATAAAAGAGAGTAGGAAATAACAAATGCCACAAAGAGATCAAGAGATTCAATGACACACAGAGCTATTTGATTTACATGCTGAGGGGTTATTCATATGATATGGGTACAATTTCCTTTTAAATATATAAGAAATGGTACTAAAAAATTATTCTGATCCTAGAGTATAAACTGCCTACTAAAGCTAAAATAAAAATTACAGTACACATATTCTATTAATGTACCTGGGGAGATTTTTTTTGTTTGTTTGCTTGTTTGGTTTGTTTGTTTTAAATTCAGATTGTATATCAAAGAATGGAAGTGTAAAATTGCTCCTACATCTGCTTAGGAGATAACATAATGTTATCTCCTATAACAAATATATCTTAGTAAATATTTTCTGGAAAAGAATGCATATCTAGATAGAAATCATTATTTTTCTTTCAACCTTAAGAAAGGATGAGTAAACATAATTAATTCAGTATTACAGGTTAGATCAGGAAAGAGTAATTGGCAAAAACATTCAATTGCCTCAAAATCTTTCCCTTTTACTTTACTGTTCCTTGATGTGAATTAATGAATAATAGAAATTGATTTTTAAAAACTGTATACTATTTAATATATACTTCTGTATTTATTCTAATTTATGGAAAACTCAATATAAGCAATAAAGTAACTTTTTTCTTGAAAATATTACTTCTCTGACTTGTTAAACCAAGTGATCCCTTAAGGTTGACAGATGGACTTTCAGAAAATGAACACAGCGTAGCAGCTGTCATCAAGTGTATAACATTTGAAGAATGTAAAATACATTTGTTAAATTTCCTTCACCACAATGAGGCAAATTATGAGGCTAGGAAATTAGGGTAGGAAATAAGGAAGAATATGATTCTTCTAATCTAAAGAAACATACAAGTCTGCAGATAAAAACCTACTATAGAAAACTATTTCTTGTTCTTATCCTGTTCTCTACCTCCAAGTGAGTTAGCTTAGTTGGTTTGAATAAATTTTAAACTTAATCCAGGTAATTTTAAACTGATCAGTTAACAAAAATATCTGCCCTTAGCAAACAAAGGGACTAGGCATTAGAAAGTGAAAAGTTTACCTCTCTGGGTCAGGCAACTTAAACATGCTCCACAATGACTCTTTTATATTAAAATAAATACTATTTTTTTGTTGTTGTTAACTAGTGTGCTGTGTGCCATTTGCACTTATAAAAAGTTAACTGCTGTTAGCAAATGATACGCTTATAGGTAAAAGGGTTAACTGGTACATTCTTACAAGTCTTTATTTTCTATTTAGAAATTAATATTTGTAACTAACAAATTATAATTGTATACATTTATGGAGTATAATTCATTACATGTATACAATGTGGAATTATTAAATCAAGTTGATTAACATAACCTGTTATTAAGTATACTATGTTTTATGTAAGCCTGATGGTAATGACAAAGCAAAGACCTGTAACAGTTATACAACCATGAAAAAGAAAGGATTCAAAGCATACTCCTACAGAAGAATGTCACATCACAAAGGAAAACTGCAAAAAGGAAGAAAAAAGCAAAACATCTGCAAAACAATCAGAAAACAAATTATAAAATGGCACTAGAAAATGCTTACCTAGCATAATTACCTTGAATGAAAATTGATTAAATTATCCAATCAAAAAAACATACAGTGGCTGAATAAAAAGACCCTACTATATACTGCTTATCAAAGACTCACTTTACTAGTAAGAATATGCATAGATTGAAAGTGAAGAAATGGAAAGGACCTGCAATACAAATGAAAGTCAAAAGACAGCAGGGGTGACTACACACATATCAGAAAAAGTTGTTTTATTGTTTTTAAAAATATTATCTTCTGATTTCTTTCTCTTCTTGTCTTTAATCCTTGCTCTTACACTGTTAACTTTTGAGCTCCTTCTTTTTCACTTTCATCTCAGTTTGTGCTTTCTCAACTTTTGGTTTTGCTTTAATGGTACCAACCTTTACAGGTTTACACCTTTCTTGCCGCATTGACCTTATAAAGCCGTCTGTATCTATCTATTCCTCTGGAGATCAAATTGTCAACTGCAGCTTCAGTTTGCAATGCATCTACTTAAAAAAAAAAAATCGACCAGCACCAGCTCTGCTTCAGTAATTACTCTCTTATTTCACTTTTTTTCTATTATGTTTCCTAACACTTAACTGAAATCCAAATGATTGAGATAGTTATGTCTAAAAATCAATAGTTTGAAACCACTTTTCCCTCATTGAACCATTATGATTTTAGCAAGAATATGTTGCTGTTTTTAAAGGTATATAAACCTGTCTTGTGTATTCCATACTCTTTGAGTAATTCTAGATATAAACTTAAATGGCATAACAAGCAACCAACCTTATTAAAACTTGTTAACTAAAAATACAGTGTCTGTGAAATCAGGAAGAAGATTTGAATGCTATTTTCAATCTAATCCACATATCCTTATTTTACCAATCTTCCCTTCAGGTACTGCAAAGTCTCCATATTATTTTCAAATGCTATTTGTTATAGGATATATTTTCTTTTGCTTAATAAAAAAAAGATTGCTTCAATTTCTTTTTTAAAAAGAAGTATTCAACTTTCTCTTCAACTAACACATCATCCTTCTGGTACATAGGGTTTAAATTGTGACCTCAACTTTAAAAATGTGATTGAGAAAGAGTAGCTGAAAGTAAAACTGCCATATTTTACCCTTATACCAAAAGGCCCAAACATTTTACTCTCTTTGGATGAATTATAATGGTAAATGATATACGAAAATAGCATCAGTTCTTAAAAAAATCATTCATTCACTCACCCATTCAGTAAATCATTGTAAAACATTTCCAAATAATCTAACAAACAAATGTGCAATTACATGCTGAGAAATGTGTTCTGAAGAAAATGGCTATGGTTCTGAGACATTTCTTTAAAATTTCGATTCACTCTGAGAGAGAAAGATAGGAACGCCATTTCTAAAAATCAATACCTGTACTGAAGTTGGACAGGGGTTTTTTACTTTAACAAAGCTATCCAAATTACATTTCCTTACACAAAAAGCATATACATAACTTTTAGAAGAATTTGTAACACAAGTGCCAGGAAAGCCAGTAAGGAGAGCTAAAAAAAAGAATAGGATAACATCATGTTATCCAGTACTCTTTCCACTCCAAGTGTGAGAACACAATTCTGATTAGCCTGAAAGGAGGCAATAGAATGTTAATGGTTGAGATCAGATTTTATTTTATATTTTATTTTATTTTATTTTATTTTATTTTATTTTATTTTTTGAGACTGAGTCTTGTTCTGTTGCCCAGGCTGGAGGGCAGTGGCACGATCTCGGCTCACTGCAACCTCTGCCTCCCAGGTTCAAGAGATTCTCCTGTCTCAGCCTCCCAAGTAGCTGGGATTAGAGGTGCCCACCACCAACCCAGCTAATTTCTTTGTATTTTTAATAGAAATGGGATTTCACAACACTGGCCTGGCTGGTCTCGAACTCCTGACCTCAAGTAATCCATCCTTCTCAGCCTCCCAAAGTGCTGGGATTATAGGTGTGAGCCACTGCACCAGGCCTATTTTTTTTTAATTTCATCTTTTGTTTTAGGTTCAGGGTGTACATGTGCAGGTTTGTTACATGGTATATTGCAGGATGCTGAGGTTTTGGTTACAAATGATGCTGTCACCCAGATAGTAAGCATAGTACCCAATACATTGTTTTTCAACCTTCACCCAGTTTCCTCCCTCCTCCTCCTTCTAGTCCCCATTGTTCCCATCTTTGTGTCCATGTGTACTAAAGTTTTAGATCAATATTTATACTCAGACTGCTAAGATTTGTGTCCTGCTCCTCTTATGACATCCTGAATTAGTTGCTTATTGTGGTATACACAGTGATTCACTACCAAGATCTTTCTTCAGTGAGAGGCTTGATGTTTCAACTATGGAGAATACTAGAGGCCCCAGCCTCCAATTGCTTTTGTTGAAAAATTCTGCCTCATCTAAAGTCACACCCTCTTCCCAAGATGGCTCACTAAGAACCGATCAAGTGGGCTACACAGAAGTAATTTTGTGTTCCAATGGAACATCTTTGAAATACCAGCATAGCCCAAGGGCTCTCAGTGGTTCTTGCAACACTTGTAGGCCTGCACTGCTGCTCCTCTTCCGCATCTTCCCACCCCTACTTTCTATTCTTCCATCCCATAGGTGTTGGTCTCAGGAGCACCCCTTAATAAACACCCTGCCTGCTAAACTCCATATTAGAGCCTGCTTTCTGGGAAATTCAATCCGTGACTTAAACTCTCTGACCTTCTACTTTTTCATCTATAAAAAGAAAATAATAGAACTCTTTTTTACCAGATTACAAAAATTGCATTGACAATACTCACAGAATATCCTCAATCTGGTGACTTATACGTAGTAAGTGATCTATAAATTTTATCTAAGTAGATGATGACTATGATGATTGGGAAAGAGAAAATAGGATGAACAAGTATGGTTTGAATTCAGGATTTCAAATGACATCATCACACTCTATTGCTTTCTTGCTCTTTCCATGTATATATTTCTTATGAGCAACTACGTTTTCTGTTAGCTTTGTCTGTTTGCCTCCTGCACATATACCCTCTAGCACCATCCATGTGGGGAGGAGGAAGCTAGAAGTGATCTGAATGACAAAACAAATCTCTTCTTTCTTCCTCCTTCAGGAGGTAGATATTTTAGTCAGTTCCTTCTGTGTTATAACCTCCACTGAACGCTCAACCTTTTAAATACTCCAGTTTTGTGAGTTTTAGTAATTTTCACTTACAAATTTACCTTTCTGTATTTTGCATTTTACGTGTATTTGGTTTGTTTTAAATTCTGTGAAAGTGTTGATTAAAAGACTCCTCTTAAATAGAAGTCACCAGTCAGCACAATGGAAGCTTGGAGGAAGCTGCCTGTGAGTGCTGGTCTTTGTGTTTCGTTCCATGTGTGTGATGATCCTTGCTGGAGTTTTTTGCTTTGTTATGAGGGAAGTGTCTTGGAGTACATTTTTAAGTTCCTGAAGCTAATTTGGTTTAGAGGAATTTTGTTTTAAAAAATAGGAGCATTCTGAACTTTGGAATGATCCCTTATAAATGTTCTGAAAATGAAAACAATTAATTACATGAAAAAAATTTCCAATGATGATGTCAGCATTTTATGAAAAACCAGAAGTTATTAGAAGAAAGCAGTGATTGAATCTTTAAAACAGACGTGATCATGCACACACAATAAGTCTTTTTCTCTTAAACTGAAAGTAAATCTATATCAGTTAGAAATTATGTAACCCAAAAAAATGTAAATTCAAAGATTTTTCTTGCCAATAGTTTATAGCAAATATATGAATCAAAGTTATTTGAGTTGTAAAAATGTAAAACTGTATGAACAAAATTTACACTCTACCAGATTTAAACATCTAGTGAGATTCACTCATACTAAGTTTTCAACATTGTGTTCTTTTTGCATTCATTTTTTATTTTTATTAAAGGTTCAAACCCACTAAAAAAACACAAAAAAAGTTTGATTTAAGGCCTAGTCTAGATGACATAATGTTACTTATTACTCCATAACTTTTATCCACCTTCCAGCCCAAATCTACCTGGACTATTTACAGTAGTCAAAATTTTACTGAAAGTTAAAACTTTGCTCATTTTGAAATGCTCATCTTCCAGGAAGAGTTAATTTTTTACACAGTTTAAAAGACAAGTGAAACTTTGTTTTTAACTCAGATCCTTTCCTCAGAATAAATATTGACAGGGAGAGAGTAAAGAAAAAAGAAATGATGAGAAATAGAGAAGAGGGCTAGAAATCAAGGAAAGAAAAAAATGAGAAGCTTAAAACCCCTGAAGATGCATGCCTTCTATTTTCATCACAGCATCAATGTAGATATTTTGGATACATATCTTTCCTTGGTGTTGAAATCAAAACTGATATTAGCATTATATTGTATAATAACACATTAATGTACTTCACCGCCCTATCTGTTGGCTATTTGGAAAACAGTCAATAAAATAATGTAAGAAAATTATAAAAAATAAAGAGAAAAGTATTAACAGCCTTTTCCCTCCCTTTATCTACTACGGGAGAATTCAAGGACCATGAATTGACTCCTCTCATCAAGCCAAAGACCCAGAGAACTTCATCCTGATGAAGGATGAGCACTTCCTGTAGACCCTGACAGATTTGCGGAACAAGAAAACATAATTTCTGGCCATAGGCAGTCAAATTTGTTTGAATAAGCTCTCTTTTCACAAATAAAAATTTCTAACCTGCAAAATATTTTGATCTTGGACTATGGTGCTTTGGCTTTCTGCCTAGGTAAACAATGAAATTTAGTTGCCTGGCAGAATAAAAAGTTCTTATTCCACCTACACTCTTGTTTGAGCAACCAAAGTACCTCAATTAGCTTTTTGTGTTTGCCTCTTGTCTCAGTGTTCAGTCTACCTAGATAGATAAGTCTGCCTTTCTTCTTTTTAAATGTATCTCTTCTTTATTTTTAATTATAAAAGCTATTTAATATAATTAGTACTCTGGAAGAAAATAATTAAAATAATTATAATTGAACAACCCTACTATAACCCTTCCAATCCTTTTTGTATATTATTTCCTGATTGTTTTCTTCTCTAGTACAATTGCTCTTGTCATGGCATGACATTTTATATCCATCATTTTTTTCACTTAACAATTTACAATAAGCATTTACCTGTATATTGACAGAGGCTTCATAACCATTTATTAGTGGTTACAAGAGCTTGAATAAGTAAATCTATTATAATTTTCCTAATTACCTATTATTAGAGTTTAGTTTCTCCCCAAATTCACAATTCTAACCAAAGTATGCCTACTATATTCTTTTACATATACAGTTTTTTCACACTTTATATTATTTAGTATCAAAGTCTACTGAGATATTGTAAATAAAATAAAGTGCCTTTTAACTCTTGTCAGTGAACTGAATGACAAAAGCTGTATATAAATAATGGTTCCTAACTTTGAGTCACACTTCCTTTTAAGGTGAAAACACAGTGATCAGAGATATTTTTGCACATGCCCAAATGTTGCTTGCCATCAGTCTAATTACAAACTACCCTCCTCTCTTCTGCAGTTGCCTGTTGCCATCTCAGAAGAAGCCTCCTTCAGCCAGATGTTGCTGTTTTCTTTGGTACTTGGTCTCGAACGATGATCACAGACGTGACCTTTATTTTCTTTCAATGAAGAAGAAACTTCATCTTCTTCACTGAAATATTAGAATTACAAAGCAAATATTTCAAACTGTTAGATTAAGTATGGCTGCCTGGAGAATCCAAAGACTCAATCTCCTCTATAGCATTTCGAAAGTTATGCAGTTTATTGCTCAACCTCTAGTATGGGTCATTGTGGTAGAGGAAAGACAATCATCTCAACAACACTCCTATTTGCAGTGAGGAGGGGTTTGGGCATCACCTCCTTTTGCTGTAAGTCAAGAACCTGTCTCTCTAAGGCCTAAGAGAGTCAACCATTTGCCTTTCAGACTAGTGTAGTCCTATTCTCCAAGTACTAATCTTTTGCCAGAAGATTGGCTTTGGTCCAGGATAATTGTCAGGAGGTAATAAACACCACCTCCAGCATCAGGAGTAGGGTTGCAAAAATAAATAAATAAATAATCCAAATTTCAATCTCATGACATTTGCAAAGGTCTGGGTTATTGGGTACGAAATAACTCCACATATGGAACTTAACAGTCCAATCCACCTGGTACTTCATCAAACTTTGTTTTGCTTCTCTTGATTTTCTTTGGGCAGAAGTTGAGAGGAAACTGTTATTCTATATTGGCAAGCCTTTTTGTGTAATTATTCAAATAATACCGAAGGAACAACAGGCAAGTGATAACGCACAATCATGACAAGTGCGTGTGGGGTGTATAATTCTGTATTTAAGAACACATGTATATACTGTATCAGGAATAGAATCTATGAAGAGAGACTTGCTTAAAAAATACAACTGATGTCCGGGCGTGGAGGCTCATGCCTGTAATCCCAGCACTTTGGGAGGCCGAGGCGGGTGGATCATGAGGTCAAGAGATCGAGACCACCCTGGCCAACATGGTGAAACCCCCATCCCTACTAAAAATACAAAAATTAGCCAGGCATGGTGGCAGGCTCCTGTAGTCCCAGCTACTCGGGACGCTGAGGCAGGAGAATGGCATGAACCCGGGAGGTGGACGTTGCAGTGAGCCGAGATCGCGCCACTGCACTCCAGCCTGGTTACAGGGCAAAGCTCTATCTCAAAATAAAATAAAATAAAATAATTTAAATTACTAAATTAAGATTCTCCATTATCATTTACATCTTAATGTCCTTAATGGAAATGATCATTCAAAGGCTTTTCCAAAGAACAGAGAGACAATAGATTCCAAAGTTAAATTTAAAGCCCTACTCTTAGAAAGAAGAAGCTGGTGTGTGACGTTCCCCTTCCTGTATCCATGTGTTCTCATTGTTCAACTCACACTTATGAGTGAGAACATGTGGTGTTTGGTTTTCTGATCTTATGACAGTTTGCTGAGAATGATGGCTTCCAGCTTCATGCATGTCCCTGCAAAGGACATGAACTCATCCTTTTTTATAGCTGCATAGTATTCCATCGCATATACCTGCCACATTTTCTTAATCCAGTCTATCATTGATGGGCATTTGGGTTGGTTCAAGTCTTTGCTATTGTGAATAGTGCTGCAATAAACATACATGTGCATGTGTCTTTATCGTAGAATGATTTATAGTCCTTTGGATATATGCCTAGTAATGGGATTTCTGGGTCAAATGGTATTTCCAGTTAGGGCTGTCGGAGGGGTTGGGGGATAGGGGAGGGATAACATTAGGAGAAATACCTAATGTAGGTGATGGGCTGATGGGTGCAGCAAACCACCATGGCACATGTATACCTGTGTAACAAACCTGCACGTTCTGCACATGTAACCCAGAACTTAAAGTATAATAATAAAAAAAGAAAGAAAAAGCTGCTTTCAAGTTTACTTTGAAAGTTTGCTTTTATATTTTTGATTGCTATTCTTAAGAATGTTTCAAATATGACAACAATAATAAAGCTACCCTGTTAGACTGATGCTCTTCAATACAGACATTTTTAAAATCTGAAGTTTCAAAATGAATAGCTATCTGGGAATATTAACTAGAGATAATAAAAGTGGCATAATTTAAATAAAGAGTGCTGAAGATTTCAATGTCTTAAAATGTTTAAAAAGTGATTTTTACTCTCTTGTATCACCTGAGAACAAATTGAGTTAAATACAATTCTTAGTGTGTACACTGTATTCAGTGAAAAAATTAAGGCAGATAAAGCTTAGTGATATTACACTGAAACCTTGCTGCCAAATTATAATTAAAATACATCTCAAACCAAAGTTTGCCACACATTACTTTTTACCACATAGAGGCCTATTAGATAATATTAGCAAGCACGTACAAAACAATATTTTGTTCTTTATATCAGATAAAAAGTCATTTTTAGTTGTTATGACTGGTACCATGCATGAAAGATGAATTTAAGGCAAGCCAGCCGATGCTCTAGAGGGGGGATTTTGTTACATGTATAGTTGGCATCAGGCCTCTAGCATCTAAGTAAAAAGTAGAACAAAGGATACTAGAGGCTGAGAATGGTAGGGAGAAGGGAGAGATAGGAAGAGATTTGTTAAAGGATATAAAATTGCAGCTAGATAGGAAGAATACATTCTAGTGTTCTGTAGCACTAAAGCATGGCTATAGTTAACAGTAATACATAGTTTCAAATAGCTAAGAGGAGGATATTCAACATTCCCAAAACAAAAGATTAATAAATGTTAATTACCCAGATCTGATCACTATACATTATAAGTAACAAAACATTACTATGTACCTCATGAATATGTACAATTATTATTTGTCAATTTAAATTTGTCAATTTAATAAACATTTTTAAAAACTAGATATTTAATGAAAATATGTTTAATATCTACTATGATGATGTGGGTAATCTGGTAAAATTTGTGTTGATGTTCCTGGTTCAAATAGTATTGATCAACTTTTATAGAATATAAATTCTGGAGAATTCATCAATCACCATTTTAAAAGATGATTTAGGTGCTTGAGGTCATCTGGAAAAATTTATGTAAAAAAATATATATATAATTAAGTACATAGATATTGATTTCTCTGTGACCTTTTCTACATAGAAGTGAAATAACTATACCGGGAGTTTTCCTCTCAGTCCTGGAAAGCAAATACATTCTATTATAATCTTATCAGATGATTATTTGTTTATTCATTTATTTATTTTCAAATGATTCACTGAGTTACAATTGGCACTCAACATCCTGGCAGATATTAAAATTTTGGAAGTTTGGAACGGATATAGATGCATAAAATCATAAATAAAATTAAGACAATAAGCATATCCATTACCTCCAAAGCTTATTGTGACACTTATAATCTCTCCTTACCAACCCTCTCTACCCACCTTCTCCCTGGAAAAAATTGATTTGCTTTCTTTGCAAGTAGTAGTATTAATTTTCTAGAATTTCATGTGAATGGAATTATGCAGTATTTACTTTTTATCTTACTTCTTCCATTCATGATGATTATTTTGAGATCTATCCATGTTGTGTGTGTAACACTAGATTATTATTGTTGATTGCTAATTAGTATTCCATTGCATGTATATACCATACTGTTTACCCATTTATTTGCTGATGATCATTTTGGTTGTTTACATTTTTTTACTTATTATAAATAAACTGCTTATGCGTACAAATGTTTCCATGGACGTATCTCTCATTTGTCTTGAGTAGAAACCTATAGGCGGAAAAATTGATTCATATGGTATATGTATGTCTGTATTTGTATAAAACTGCCATACTGTTTTTGTAAATAGTTGTACCATTTTACATTCCCATTAGCAATCTATGAAAGTCTAATTGCTTCAAATCCTTGCCAAAATTTGTTATAAGTAGTCTTTTTTAACTTTGGCAATACTAATAAATGTGTACTGGTATTTCATTAAGGATTTATAATGAACAGATAATGTTAGGCAGCATTTTCTGTGCTTAGTTTCCTCTGAATATATTCTTTGGTGAAATGTCTGCTTATATATTTTGCCTATTTTGTTTGGAATGTTTATTTTATCATTACGATGTTTTGGATTTCTGGATTTGTCATTATTACATACGTCATATGCAAACATGTTTTCCCAGTCTGTGGGTAGTCTTTTATTCATTTAATTGTATTTTTTGAAGTTCAGAGATTACTAACTTAAATGGATTTCTTTATGGATTATATTTTGGTGTTATAGTTAAGGAACCTTTGTACTATCGGGTCACGAGGATTTTTTTCCGATTTTTGAAAATTTCCTAAATATTTTAGCTTTAGGCTTCACATTTAAGTCCATGATTCATTTTTAGTTAATGTCAGAATATGGTTCAATGTATAGATGAAAGTTTACTTTTTCTTTACACACAAATACACAATTGTTTTAATACACTTGTTGAAATATTTTATTTTTCTCCAATGAATTATCTTCATTACTTTTTCAAAAATTATCTACATATGGGTCTATATCTGAACATTGAATTCACTTTCATTTATCTGGTTGCCTCTTTTGCTGCCAATACTATACTACTCTTTTGGTTATGGAAACCTCATAATAAATCTTGAAATCTAGTAGAATAAGTCTTCAAACTTGGTTCTTTTTTCGAAGTTGTTTTAGCTGTTCTAGTTTCTTGCATTGTTATATGAATTCTAGAATCAGATTTTATATTTTTATTAAAATGCCTGCTGGAATTTTGGTGTAGATTCTTGTAAGTCTAAACATTAATTTGGAGAAATTGACAATTTAGTAATACTGAATTTTCAGTTCCATGAGCATGGAATATAACTCCATTTATTTAGATATTGGTTAATTTCTCCCTCAAAATATGTTAGTTTTTAATACACATATTTTGCATGTCTTTTATCATATTTATCCTAAAGTATTACATATTTTTGATGCCCATGTAAGTGTTACTCAATTTTTAATTTCAATTTCCAAGTATACATTGCTGGTATACCAAAATAACTTGTTTCTTTTTTTTTGTACTGGCCTTTTATCCTGTAAAATTATTAGGTAATACAAAAACACTTATTAGTTTAAGTATTTTTGTGTTGTTTTCATAGGATTTATATATACATGATTTTATGAGACAAAAAGACTGTTTTACAGCTTTTACTCAATCTGAATGGCTTTTATGTATTTCTCTTGACTTTTTATACTGAAATATTGAAAAGAATTTGTGAGTGCAAACATCCCTGACTTTTTTCTTAATCTTAAATGGAAAAAGATTCATTCTTTTACAAATAAGTATTTTACTTGTATATTTTTTTCAAAATGCCCCTCTTGAGACTGAGAACATTTGATTTCTTCCCCAGATTCCTGCTATTTTTATAAATAAATAGATTTTTATTTTTCTTAAATGCTTTTTTTTAAACCTCTAGCGAGATGACCACATACTTTTCTGATTTTGTTCTTTTAATGGTAAACTAACCTTGCATTCCTGGTATAAACCCTTCTTAGTTGCAATGTAGAATCAATTTTGTGTATTGTTGGATTTCATTTATTAAATTTTAATTTAAAAATTATCATACCTGTGCTTATGAAGAGTACTTACAGTTTTCTTATAGTGTCCTTATGTTGTGTTGGTATTGAGTTAATTTGGGCCTCAGAAGAATGGGTTGCAAATTATTCTCTTCTCTGCAGTTTCCTGCAAAAGTTGATTTAGAATTTTTTTTCTTGAATTTTTCTTTAATAGAATTTGCCAAAAGTAACTACTTAATATGAATTGTCATCCTCCAGAAGAAATCATGCCTGTGTTTCTTGTCACTATATATTTAGAGGCTAAAAGAATGCTGACTGCATAGTGTTAGCACAGGAAATATGAATCAACATATGGAATATTAACAAAAGACACAATAAAATAAATTCCAGCTTTATTCTATTCTTTGCTATTGATTTAGGAAACTGAGTTTTCCTCTTAAAATTAATTTAAAATTTTATTACCATTAATGACCTTTTCAGGAGTACATTAGAGATCTTATTTTATTATTTATGTGTTTATTTTATTCTTTTTATATCAGACATAATTTTAAGAATTACGTGGTACAATTATTTATTGAAATTAATTAGCAGGTTCCCTATGTGGGTATACAAGTAAAATATCTATTATAGTTTTTTCCTTTATAATGAAAATTATGAGTTTAATTTTTGTATTTATATCTTACTAAAATAAACATAATATTTTTTAATGCTTAAATATTTTCTATTACATATGCCCAAAAACAAGTTGCTTTAAAAGTGTTTTATCAACTCTATGTTTGTAGTTCAACAACACCCAATATTTCTGCTTAATTTCTCTACTGAGTATAAATTTGCAACTTCAACCTAGTATTTACTAATTATACAGTACCCTGACATCTAATTTTTAAAAATAATTTGAATTTCTAAATCACTTCAAAACCTAATGGAACTCAAATGCTATTACAGCTGAAACCACTTAATAGGGCCTTGTTAATAAAGACAATTTAGTTAAATTAGGCACTTTCAGTGAACATATTTTATCTTGGCCACTTGATGTAATCCAAAATAATAATAATGGCTAATAAGTACAGCCTGATAACACAGACATTTTCTCCATTAACCATTTGCCTGGGATGTTGGAATTTTTTTTGCTTCACAGTTAATAACAGCCACTGATTAGAGAGATTCTATTATGATTCTGGTTTAAAAAGAAGAAAACAAGCACGTATAATACAGTGATATCAGTATGATTTAATTATGTATAAGTAAGCATGCTCAACAATGCATACCCACTATACTGTTTCCAAGAAACTTAACCTAAATTCTTCTTGTAATAGTTTATGGTATTTTTAATTTTAGTTCTATAGCTATCAGAATTGAAATATCAAAATCTCTCATTTAGCATTATATTTTAAACATGAAACACTTTTTTGTAAACTGTAAAATAGTACCATGTTTAAGATCCTTCAGACAGAATACTACAGGGTTATAGAAAAACTAGTGGCCAGGCATGGTGGCTCACGCCTGTAATCCCAGCACTTTGGGAGGCCAAGGCGGGTGGATCATAAGGTCAGGAAATCGAGACCATCCTGGCTAACGCGGTGAAATCCCGTCTCTACCAAAAATAGAAAAAATTAGCCAGGCACGGTGGCGGGCGCCTGTAGTCCCAGCTACTCGGGAGGCTGAGGCAGGAGAATGGCGTGAACCCAGGAGGCGGAGCTTGCAGTGAGCCGAGATTGCACCACTGCACTCCAGCCTGGGTGACAAAGCCAGACTCCGTCTCAAAAAAAAAAAAAAAAAAAAAAAAAAAAAGAAAAAGAAAAACTAGTAATTTCAGAAAGCTCTCATAAACATTTGAAAAGAGTGTGCTTTTTTTGAGTTAGTATTTATTCCATCCATCTCTTTAGAGATATTTAGTCATGCCTTCAGCAATTTCTCTATCTAAACAGTGTGACATTTCATTCAAGTGTATTTTATATACTCTGTTTAAAAAAAATAAAGGAGTCATTTATCTTATAGCAAAAAAAAAAAAAAAAACCAGATCTGCTGAATAACGTAATGGCCTATTAGTTGCTTTGTTCCTGTAATTCTTGAACATTAAAACAAATTTGAATGCACTTTGGGAGCAGATCACTTGAGATCAGCAGTTCGAGACCAGCCTGGCCAACATGGTGAAACTCTGTCTCTACTAAAAATACAAAATTTAGCTGGGTGTGGTTGGGCTCATCTATAATTCCACCTACTCGGGAGGCTGAGGCAGGAGAATCACTTGAACCCAGGTGGCGGAGGCTGCAGTGAGCTGAGATTGCACCACTGGACTCCAGCCTGGGTGACAGAGTGTGACTCCATCTCAAAAAAAAAAAAAAAATCATGGGCCTGAATCAAAGTATCACATGTAATCTATAAATATATATACCTATTATGTACCCTTAATGCTTAAAAATAAGAAATTTAAAAATAAAACAAATATATATTTAACTCCTTACCAAAACTCATTTCATTCTTTCATTCAATACTTGTCAAATATCTACTACATGTCAAATATTATGCTACACTTCATTAACATAGATTATGCTAGATTTTCCATTGTCAAACTGGCATTACCCTGACCTCCATTTCTCCTGCAGGGGAGAAGATCAAGCCTACGATTGTCACAGTTCTTTTACACTATTACTCTTAGTTAGAGCTACCAATGGAAGGTTCTCTAGTGATATCTTTAGGAGACAAATAAGCTCTGTTTCTACAGTGGCACCTGCATTCAGGCAGTAGAGATCATCTACAGTGGCTTTTCCTGACTCTCAGAAGTCTTTCTGGAATCCCTTGTTGTACGCAAACAGCTAATATAACTAGTAGAGAATTCCCTTGGATTTCAGGTTGGGAAGAGTGAGGTCTTCCAGAAAAATCACCCACCATGATGATTTTTATAAGTGACTAGCAGGACTGGAAGAATCTTGCCATCAGTTCTTGTACTTTATATTGGAAACAGCCTTTCTGATCTCAGGCCCCAAACCTTTCAAAGGTTGTATAAGTTTATTATTCCCGGTTTCAATAATTTTTCTACTTCTGCTTTTAGCAATAGGGATCAACCTAGAATAAATTTTTCCCCTCAGCTGAAATAAATAACAAAACTGGATACAATAGTAAACATGTTTTTCAAGGACTGGGTATCTGGCAGTCGAAAACAACAATCCTTGAGGGAATAGAAACAAACGAACAGGGTCCATGATTGCCTTGTCTTACTTCCTAAAGAGTATTTACAAGCCATAGTACAGGAGGGGAAGACAGGTGGAGTCTTGTGGTCTCCCAGAGGTGAGAATATGAAGGTAAATGTCCATGAAGGCCTGAGTGATTACAGTTTACAAGACAGCATGCTAGAGAGAAGAAATGTGCATAGACAGGCAGCTCTAGAGCTTTGCAGAAGATCCCTTTTGAGTTTTCAGCTTACTACTGATGAATGCATGTGTGGGAGAAAACTGCCTGAGAATTACCTGAAAGGGCATGTAATACTGTCTCTGGAATTTACACAAAACTGGGAAATGTTTATGTTTCCACCAGACTGAGTAGAAAAATATTCTAATTCATGGGACTTGTGTAGATTATGCAGAATGGCATTTTCCCAATGGAAGGCTGCTCAGGTCCTATCTAACGAAGTTTTGAAGCAAGTGGCAAAGGGATGATATGGTTTTTAAATTGCTTAACAGCTTTTTAGAACAAAGCCCAAACATATTTATGGAGATACAAAAATACCAAGCACAAAACAAAGCAAAATTTAGTGCCTGATGTTGAATTTTAAAATACATGCAATTAACAAAGGAAGTAAAATAATGTTAATGAAAAAGAGTGAAGGAGACACAAATAAATGGAAAGGCATTCATGTTCAGATCGAATAAATTAATATTGTTAAAATATCCATACTATCAACAAAACTACAGATCTCATGCTATACCCATTAAAATTCCAATAACATTTCTTATAGAAATAGAAAAAGCAATTCTAAATTTCATATGGCAAAACAACAGACCTTGAAAAGGCAAAGCAATCTTGAGAAGTATAAAGTTGAAGTCATCACACTTCCTGATTTCAAAATATAAAGTTACAGCAGTCAAAACAATATAGGACTGGCATAAAGACAGACATTTAGATCAACGGAACAGATTAGAAAGCCCCGCAAAAAAACAATTTATATACAATCAAGAGTCACTTAATGAAGGGGATGTGTTCTGAGAAAAATGCCATTAGGTGATTTCATTGTTCTGCAAACATCATAGATTGTACTTATACAAACCTAGGTGGTATAACCTAGTACACATCTAGACTATATTGTATAGCCTATTGGTCCTAGGCTTCAAACCTGAATAACATGTTACTGTACTGAATACCCTAGGCAATTGTAAAAAAAATAGTATTTGTGTAGCTAAACATAGAAAAGATGTGATAAAAATACAGTATTATAATCTTATGGGATCACAACTTAAAAGTCATTCATCATTGATCAAAACATCACTATACAGCTCATTACTGTACCATCAACTGATGTCTGACAAGGGTGCTCAGAAGAATACACAAGGGGGAAAGGATAGTGTCTTCAACAAATGCTCTTGGGAAAACAGGATAACTGCTTGTAAAATAATGCAATTGGACTCTTGTCTTATGCCATATACAAAAATCAACTCAAAATCGATTAAGAATCAAAACTGTGAAACTCCTAGAAAAAAACATAGGAGGAAAGCTTCTTGACAATGGTCTTGGCAATGATTTCTTGGATATGATACCAAATGCAATGGCAACAAATGGTAACAAAAGCACAGGAAAAAAAAAGCAAAAATTGACAAGTAGGATTGCATCAAACTAAAATGCTTCTGCACAGTAAAGGAGACAGTCCACAGAGTGAAATGGTAACCTATGGAATGGGAAAAATGTTTGCAAAACATAAGTCTGATAAAGAGTAATCTCCAAAACATGTAAGGAACTACTTTAAATCAAGATCCAAAAAACAAATAACTCAAAATAACCAAAGGGCTTGAACAGGTGTTTATTCAAAGATACATTAAAATGGCCAGCAAGAAACTAATCAGTATACTTCAAAATAACATAGATCAAATAAAAATATCAAAAGCAAGATTAGAAAGTGTTTTGAACAAAATTATAAAGAAAACATAATATGTAGAAACTTGAGGATTGCATTTAAAACAGTTCTTAGATAAGAATTTCTGGCAATAAATGCCTATGTTTGAAAAGAAGAAAGCTCTCCAATCAATGACTTCAACTTTCACATTAAGGAACTGGAAAAATAAGAGGAAATTACAGCCAAATAAAACAGAAAAAAAGAGAATAATAAGGGAGTAAAACAGAAATTTGTGAAATTAAAAATAGAAAAAAATCAATGAAACAAAAAAATGGCATTTTGAAAAGATTAATAAAATTGATGAATTGCTCTGCTGAGTGGTCAGGAAAATACACACAAGTTATCCATAGCAAGAATGAGAGATGTGATATCACTAAAAGTTTTACAGGACAGAAAGGATAACAACGACTTATTATGAACATTATTAGAATAAGTTTAACCACTTAGAAGACACGGACAAATTAAAAGGCATGAGCCACCAAAGTTAACTAAAAAAAAAAAACACCTGAATAACCTTTTATTTATTTGTTAAATTACGTTTTTAATCAAGTAACTGCTTTTTATTTTAATTTTTTAGTGTTTACTTTTTAAAAAAATTATGTTTGTCAAGTAACTTCTAAGAGAGAAAACTCTGCATAATTTCACTATTAGATTCTTCTGAAAATTTAGGAAATAAATTACATCAATACTTAACAAGTTCTGCCAGAAAACTGAAGGAGAAAGCCACTTTATTCTGTGAGGCCAGCACCAAGACATTCAACATACAGTACAAACTAATATACTTCATGAACATAAATGTCAAGCTTCAAAACAAAATTTTTACAAATAGAATTTTAAAATATGTGAATAGGATAATACATCTTGACCAGTTTAATTTATTCCAAGAATTCAAAGTAAGTTAAATATTAAAAAATTAATAAATAAAATTAACCATAGAAACAGATAATAAAAGAAATTCCATACCATCATTTCAATAGAAACAGAAAGATTTTTTGACAAAATCCAATATTAATTGATGCTGCAACTCTTAAATGGGAACAATAGGAAACTTACCCATTCTGGAAAAGGTAACTGATACATATACATATATATGGATATGTAGATACGTATATCTACATATCCAGATATATAGACACTAACATCATACTCATTCATGAAAGACTGAAAGCTTCCTCACCAAAGTCAGAAACAAGACATGGATGTCTGTTCTCTCACTATTTTGTTTTCTTTTCTTTCCTTTTTTTTTTTTTTTTTTTTTTTTTTTTTGAGACAGAGTTTCGCTCTTGCCCAGGCTGGAGTGCAATGGCACAATCTCAGCTCGCTGTAACCTAAGCCTCCCAGATTCGAGCAATTCTCCTGCCTCAGCCTCCCAAGTAGCTGGGATTACAGGCATGCACCATGACGCCCAGCTAATTTTTTGTTTTTAGTAGAGACAGGGTTTCACCATGTTGGTCATGCTGGTCTCGAACTCCTGACCTCAGGTGACCCACCCATCTTGGCCTCCCAAAGTGCTGGGTCACTATGTCTTTTTAACATTATTCTAGAGGTCTTATCAAGTGTAATAAGGCAAGTGGGGAAAAAAGCAACTAGATTAGAAATACACAACTAACTTGTTTCACTTGGAAACAACATGAATTTTACATTTAAAAAAAAACACAAAAAACCCTACGGTACCTTCAAAACAGCTACTAGAACTAATAAGTAAGTTTAGCAAGGTTACAGAATGTATAAACAACATACAAAAATAAATTGTATTTCGATATACTAGAAACAAATAATCCAAAATTAAAGTTTTTGAAATTCTATTTAAAAGACCATAAAATGTGCAATATTAGCATTAAATTTATCAACATATAAGCAAGATCTATACACTGAAAACCTACAAACATTGATTAAAAATTAGAAAACTTAAATAAATAGAAATATATACCATATATACCAATTATGGATCAGAAGATTCAATATTGTTTTTTGGGTTTTTATTGTTGTTGTTGCTGCTGTTGTTGTTGCTGTTTTTGAGACAGAGTCTTGCTCTGTCACCCAGGCTGGAGTGCAGTAGTGCAGTCTTGGCTCACTGCAACCTCTGCCTCCCAAGTGTAAGATATTCTCCTCCCTCAGCCTCCCAAGCAGCTGGGATTACAAGTGCCTGCCACCATGTCAGGCTAATTTTTGTATTTTAAGTAGAGACAGGGTTTCACCATGTTGGCCAGACTGGTCTTGAATTCCTGGCCTCAGGTGATCCACCAGCCTGGGCCTCCCAAAGTGCTGGGATTACAGGCGTCAGCCACTGCGCCCGGCCTCAATATTGTTTAAGACGTCAATTTCCAAATCAAATTCCCAAGTTTTTGAAAACTAAAAGCTAATTTGAAACGTTGTATAGGAAAAAAAAAAATAAAAGCACATGGGAGTCCCAATGTATTTGAGATAGAAGAATATACTCTATCTTTAAAACCATCTACCTATCTTTAAAACCATCATTCATCAAGATAGTGTGTAACATTGCCATATAGATAGACAAACAAATCAACAGAACAGAATAGAATCCACAAATAGACCTGAACATACATTCAATTAATTTTTAAGAAAGCTGGCAAGGCAATTCACTGGAAATCTTAATCTTTTCAATAATTGCCACTACAACAATTGAATAGCCATATGCAAAAAATAAAAAAAAATCAAATCTTTACCTTATGCCATATATAAAATATAATTTAAAAGCAATCACTTATCAAAATATGAGTTAAACTATAGAATTTCTAGAATAAACCATTGAAGATAATTTAAACCACATTGAAATGGTGAGTGTGCAGAGCCACTGAACTTTCTTATATTGTTGTTGGGAACCTAAAAGGCTAAAACCACTTGGGAAAATACTTTGCTAGTTTCTTAAACTTGAACATGCATCCATCACACTACTTAGCCATTCCAATTTTAGATATTTAACCAATTGAAATGAAAGCCTATTTTTTTTACAAAGTCTTATATTCGAATGCTCATAGCAATTTTATTTTTAATAAATATTCTTCAACAATGAATGTATAAACAAACTGTGATGTATCCATATGATGGAATACCACTCAGCAATAAGGAGGAATGAACTGATACATAAAGCAGCATGAATAATATTAAAATAATTATGCTGCATGAAAAAAGACAGACCAAAAGTAGTTCTAGCTTGTGATTCCATTTATACAATGCTCTAGAAAGTACAAATAAATCTGTAGTGACAACATACAGATCAGCAGTTGCCTACAGACAGGGGTGGGTGGGCCATTGATAAATGTATAGGCAGCCCTTTTATCTGCTGGTTTTATATCTGTGGATTCTGCCAACTCTGAAATGAAATTTTTTTAATGCAACAATTAAAAATACATTATAACAACTATGTACAAAGCATTTACATTGTGTTAAGTATCATAAGTAATCTAGGGATCATTTAAAGTATTCTGGAGAATGTGCATAGGTTGTATGCAAATCCTATGCCATTTTACATAAGAGACTTAAGCATCCACGGATTTTGGTATCTGTAGGGGATCCTAAAACAAATCCCCTGCAGTGTACTGAAGGATTACTGTATTATAAAGGATCATGAAGAGTCTTTTGTGGGTATTTGATATATTCATTAGTTTGAATTTGTGAATGGTTTCATAGGTGTATACATATGTTAAAACTAATGAAATTGTGTACTTTATAGCTCAAGAAAATGAAAAAAAAAAGTCTTTTGATAAAAAAAAAAAACTTTTCTGTTTTCCTGACAATCTTTCCTAATGGAGACTCTCAAATAACTTAGAACCTAGTAGAAAGAGTCATTAATGTAGAAATTGCATATACTAAATTATGTATAGTACAATATATTACAATGGTCTGAACAACATGAACTTAGGCAATTAGTCTCTAAAAGTGAATGGCTCAATAGGAAAAACTAAGTTAGTCACAATAGCTTACATAGAGAAGAGGAGAACATAGAAAAAATATAAGCCTTGATTGATGAATGTGAAACCAATCATGAGCAACTTTTCATACCAGAACAGCCTGTAGATATTAAGAAATCATTTACAGGAGCGCAATATGAGGTTGTATATCGAGACACACATGGAAAGGCTAACTTTGGTTCAGACACTTTTGGGTGCAGAAAATCCAGTTCATCTTAGGTAAATAAATAAACAAATAAACAGATACATTTATTAGTTCACACAACTAAAAAAAAGTGTCTAGCTAAATCTCTGTTTGATTCAGAGACACAAATGCTGATTCTAGATCTGATTTCTCTATATTATTTTGCTCTTCTCTACTCTAGGCTGACTTCCTTCTTGTCACCACCTCGTATTAAGATGATCTACCAGAAGTTCCCATTCTACATATTCCAACATGTAAACCCAGTGAAAAAAATACCTGTGTTTCCTTTCCAACGGCCCTGGCAAACTTTATTTGACTCTCCATGCCTTTAATTGGGTCACAAATCCATGAACTAATTATTCAAGCCAAGAGAATAAAAATGTCCTGATTGTCTGATTTGCACAAATGTCATATATCCACCCCATCACCATGAGGTTGAGGAAGAATAGATGCATAAAGAGAAATTTGAATCATGTTAGCAGGAAAACTTAAATGAAAGGTAACTCGCAAAAAATTACAGGAAAAAAAAAGCTGTCTATAAGGAAAAAAATGTGTGGTGAGTGCGTGCATGGTTGTCGTTTCAGAGGTGATTAACTGTGGGATTTCCTTGTCTCAGTGTTCTCTAGGAAATACAGATGACAAATATTATGTCAAAAAATATTTATCAAGAGACCACTGAGAGCTAATCATTTTGCTAGGCACTAAAGATACAAAATCAAACAAGATGTGGTTCCTGTCCTCAATAAATTTGTAGCTTATCGTAGGAGATAACTAAGTTTGTTAAACGTTATAAGAAAAGTTTACAAGTATTCATGGAATCCCAAATGAAGGCCTTTAAAATCATTTTGGGAGTTTGAGTTGACATTTGAACCAAATTTGGAAGGAACAGGAGTTAGCCAAATGAAACAAGATTAGAGGAGTGGGATGAATAAGTCATTGTAGCAGAGAGATCAACAGGAAAAGGGACATGGAAATGGGGAAAATCTTGGCACATTAAGGGCACTGACTGTAAAGAATGGTGCAATGAGAGGACACTGGAGTAAATAAAGCTAGGTAGGTAGGAAAAAACCTAGCCACAAGTATTTAGTGTACTAAGCTAAGAAATTTGAACCTTGCAGTGGGAGATGTTGTATTCTGAGGTATTAAAGGAAGGGAAGAGACGCAGTTAGAACTACATTATATGAAGTTTATTCTCACAACAGCAAGGAAGATAGATTGGAGGAGGCCCACAGTGTCAACAGGGAGAATCCCTACAATATTCTGGTAATAATTACAGTGAGTGGAGATAAGAGCCAAGAAAACAAAAAGAGGCAGTTGAGCAAGTATAAAGGCAGAAAAGATAGTGTTCTCCAAAAGAAAATTGAAGCTTTAGAGATTTTTGTCTCGATGGAGTTGTGAAGTGCATGAGAAAGTGAAAAAAAAAAACGTACGGTGATTCTAAGTTTTATGTCTTGTAAGAATGATGAAACTAGGTGCTGTTTACCAAAAATCAACTATATTACATTTATGCTGGATTTATGACAGAATCTGAAAATCCAGCGGGTGTGACAAATTTCAATCATTTTCTTAATGTCATGTATTTTCCAGTCCTTGGATGTCCAAGTTCCTAGGATTTATCTTTTACTAAGTTAAGTGCTTGCTTCAGCTTGGGAAACCTCGCCTACATAAAGCTCCAAACTAGGGGCTGAATTTCTGCCATTATAGCTCTTGGATTAGAGTCTTATTCCTAAGAGATGGCAGATCATGGTTCAGTAGGATGTACTAAGAGGAAATAATTTTCATGTTTATAATTAGAATGTCTTTAAATGTCTTTATGTAAGTAGCCAGAGAATGTTATGAGCAGAATATAAGTTGCAAAGGCCCAGTAAGTTTTAACTAATGAAAACTTATCTTTCAATATATTTAAATAAAGGGTTAAAAGGCAGTGTTTAAACGTGTTATTGAAGTGTGAAAGGGATTTGGGGGGTTATCTTTTCAAGGGTATAGGTTATCTAAGCATGCATATATAAATAAAATGATAGGAATTATAGGAGAGAAAGTTAAGTAGAAGTCAAGGTCATCCAGCTCTCCATTGTTCTCCCGAAGCATTCTGAAAAGCTAAGAATATGAACTTGGACACACAATTACATTAACTGGGAAAATGTTCTTCATTTCAGTTAACAAAATCTCTTGTACTATTCTATCTTAATAGCAATCTACTTGATAAAATCTTTGTGTTCTGGTTGACTACAACATCAATATAAGCCAAAAAGATGACGTGGCAGTTAACACCACACTGAGCACAATAATGCAAGTCTAGAGTCCAGATAAAGAAGGTAATTATCCCACTGAACTCCGCATTGTTCAGGCCACAACTGGAGGTTTATGTTTTGTGCTGGGCTCTGAAATTTATTAAAGTTCATTTTTCTCTTACAGTCATATACTCCTTTTAAGAAGCGAAAAATGCATACAAATATGAAGATTAAAGATATTGCAAACAGGGCATGGTGGCTCATGCCTGTAATCCCAGCGCTTTGGGAGGCCGAGGTGGGCGATCACTTGAGGTCAGAAGTCCGTGACCAGCCTGGCCAACATGGTGAAACCTCATCTCTACTAAAAATACAAAAATTAGCCAGGGGTGGTGGATCGCACCTGCAATCCTAGCTACTCAGGAGGCTGAGGCAGGAGAATCGCTTGAACTCAGGAGGCAGAGGTTGCAGTGAGCTGAGATCGCGCCACTGCACTCCAGCCTGTGTGACAGAGCCAGACTCCATCTCAAAAAAAAAAAAATCTTGCATAATCCCACCAACTTTACATGATGACTATTAACAATGCAGAATATTTCTTTCAGTCTTTTCCTTATACTCACAATAATATAGAAAGAAGCACATTTAGAGTTTTAGAAAATCTAAATTTGATCTAAAATAATTACCCAATTACTAAACCACATTAAAGATTAAATCATTCAAATGGTTTTGCAATAATTTCCTTTGTAGTCTTTGGTTCTTTTCTGGGAATACTGGATAGGTATTTGTTTTACAATAATCTAAAATTAGTACTCAATGGCATTTGTCCCAGAATAGACAGAATGTGTGTCTCAGAGGAAAATCTAGGTCTACAACTGTTAGATCTTGCCACTGCACTCCAGCCTGGGTGACAGAGCGAGACTCTATCTCAAAATAAATAAATAAATAATAAATAAATAAATAACAAAAATTTACTGTAGTTTTTTAATGAGAATATTTTCCTTTTTCTTAACCAAGATTTGGAAGAAAAATTTTATGATTAAGTTTTATCCCAGATATGTACATATTTATAGATATGTGTATATGAGATCTCACATGCTCTACAGTTTTATAATTATAGTTTTATTGTTTATTCAATTAAGATTTTAACTACAAAACTATCACACATACAAAACATGTATAAAACATGTATGTACAACTTTAGGATAATTTTCAAAAAGAACAGATAGTTATCACAAATCAGCTGAAAACAGAACAATGCCAATTCCTTTGAAGCCTCTCTGTGCGTTTCCCAAATCATATTCTCCTTCATCACTCAAAGATAATCATTCTCTTGAATTATTTTCTTCCTTTCCTTTATCGTTTTACCACCAAAAAGTGTAACTTCAAATAATATATTTTGAGACTTTTTTAACTACATGGCAATCCTTGGTAGAAATTTGATTTAAGTGACATTAAATCTAGATAGTGATTGTGGAAGAATTGTCATGCATTCATTATTAAATCTCCTTTTCTGAACATGGCTTAGGTTTTTCTTTAATATATTTTTGTAAAGTTTTATTCATAAAAGTATTTAAATGTGTCATATTTTATTATTTTCTCTTACAGAAAATAGCATACATTATTTTAAGGAATATAGGCATTTAGTTATAATTAAAATTTTATTTGCATAGGTTTATAACATCTTATTATTTTAATATGAGTATAATCTTTAGAGACACTACTTTACATTATTTATATTGACTGATTTCTTTCCTGTTTTTTTTTCAATTTAGTTTCACAAGATGTTTATAAATTTTATTGGTCTTTCAAAGACACAACTTTTAATTCTGTTAATATTCTATTTTATACCTGTATTGTTTCATTAATTTGTTTTTATTATGTCCTTTTCCATTTACGTTTATTTTGTTTTTCTCTTTCTGCTTTTTGTAAGGGGCTTTTTTTTTTATTTTTAGCCTTTTTTCTTTACTAATATACAGATTACAGCAGAAAAATTTTTTATACTTTACCTGAATCTCACAACTCAAATCTCACAATCTCACAATTCAAACAATCTTGAATATAATTAGTTCAAAAAATTTACCTGTGCCCATTGTTAATTTTTTCCTTGTCTCACACATTATTCTGAATATTTGGGTATTTTATAGTTAGGATTTTACGACTTTTTGAAGCATAATTTAATTTTGGCCAGGGGACACTATTTTCTTAAGGTCATTTTGTAAGATTCTTGGCATTCTACAATGGTTGGGTGAACATATGTATGTTTACGGGGATTAGTTTACTCATTGTGTTTTTTCAATATTCAAACCTCTTTATGTTTGTTTTTCTCATAGTCACAGAGATATATTTTTTAATCTAATGTTATGCTGATGGTTTTATCTGTTTTTTCTTACAGCTCTGTTTCATTTTTGCTTTATAAAATTGAGACTAGGTTGTTAGGTGCACACATATTTAGAATTGCTATTTTTTATTATTCGGAAGCATCTTACAAGTAGACTTAATTGAAACTTTATTATTCTGAAGCATATTATTCTTATATTGAGTTCTGCTGAGATATGAATTCTCACTTAAAAATTTCACATGACTGTGTGAGGATTTTTATGTATCCTACTTGGGACATGAGGGATCCCTAAATTTGAGAATTAATATATGTCTTCAGTGTTGGATAATTCCTATTATCTATTAAAATGCTGTTTCTACACCACTTTCTGCATTCTTTTTGCTACACCAATCATAATTGATTCTCATTATTTGGAAATTCTGAATTTGTGAATTTGCTTACTTGCTAAAGTTTTTTTGTAACCTCAAAATCAATAATCATGGTGCTTGTGCAGTCACTAGCAGGCATGCACAGAGATGAAATGTTTGAGTAGTTAATTGACAGTCTTGAAGTTGGGGTCAAACAAGGTGATACTGTCCTTTTGTTTCAGCTCTCAGGCTATAAATAAGTCTTGCTGCCTTTTTTTTTTTTTTTTTTTACGTAGTCTTGCTCTGTCACCCAGGCTGGACTGCAATGACACAATCTCAGCTCACCGCAGCCTTCACCTCTCAGGTTCAAGAGATTCTCCTGCCTCAGCATCCCAAGTAGCTGGGATTACAGATGTGCACCACCATGCCTGGCTAATTTTTGCATTTTTAGTAGAGATGGGTTTTCGCCATGTCGGCCAGGCTGGTCTTGAGCTCCTGAGCTCAAGTGATATACCCGCCTCTGCCTCCCAAAGTGCTGGGATTACCAGTGTGAGCCACAGCACCCAGCCGAGTCCTGCCCTTTTTGCTGTCTATTTAAATGCTATATTTTACCCATTTTGTGCTTTTAGTTGGTGATTTTGCTGTTTAAAAATGGCAACAAGTATACTACTGAAGTGCTGCCTAGTGTTCCTAAGAACAAACAGGCTGTGATGTATGTTCTTGACTGAAAAAATATGAGTGTTATATAAGTTTCATTCAAGTATGAGCTACAGTGCTGTTGGCTGTGACTTCACTGTTAATTAACTAATATATATTATAATAAAGTGTTGGGAGGGTGAGGGGGGTGGATCACTTGAGCCCAGGAGTTCAAGACCAGCCTGGGCAACATGGCAAAACCCCGTCTCCACAAAAATCAACAAAAATTAGCTGGGCAGAATGGCTCAAAAAATAATAATAGCAATAATAAAGTGT
Source organism: Homo sapiens (assembly GCF_000001405.40). Classification (NCBI taxonomy): domain Eukaryota; kingdom Metazoa; phylum Chordata; class Mammalia; order Primates; family Hominidae; genus Homo; species Homo sapiens. The sequence continues at coordinate 82,239,847 of NC_000003.12, read as the reverse complement.
CTTTAAATAGAAACACACAGGAACCAAAGTCATGTATTGATCAGTTGATGAGAAATGTGACCAGACACTCATAGAAACCTAATCCTTATGTCCCCTTGAAAAAATATTTCAGTATTTGCTAATGCAGTACCTGCAGCAACTTTATAGAACATAACTACCATAAACAAGAGTCAAATGTATAACTTGAACAGTATTGTTTATGTCACTTACTTTCCCTTTATTTTTCTTCTTTCTTTTTTTCTCCTGGATATGTTTTTCTGACTTATATTCAAATTTTAATTTGTTGTTGAATTCCTAATTTGATTATTTACATTTTGGTTGTAGAATATGTATACTTTTCCCATGTTTTCTTTTATATAGCTTATTTTAAAAATTCTCAATTTCACCTTTCCTTTTACTGAAGATGTTAAACTTATTTTTTTTCAAAATCTATGTCTTGACAATTCTGAATAACAACATGAAATAACAGCAGCTTCCCTGTGTCTGTTTCAATTGCTTATCATTTCTTCCGGGTCTCATTCATGTTGTCTTATATCATGATGTGCCTGATTATTTTTAATTTTTATTATTTTCGCTTGCAGCACACTGTACTTGAAAAATTACAAAAATAATGCAAGGCCTAGGATTATGTCTCACTTCAGAGATAATTTTTTACTTGCTTCTTATGGGCTCCTGGGAACTCGCAATGTCCTATTACCTGAATTTAATTTCAAAGATTGAGATAGTTCCAATTTGGCCTGTAGTCTCTATGTAGACTGGTCTACTCATTATGCACTGTTATTTCTATCAACTACTTACTTGGAGTCCTTGGCAGATACCAGTATTCAGCTTGAGCCTTTCTTACCTAGGAGGCTGATGAAAGCACTGTACAATCTCTCTGGAGTCTCAAGCATCACTTGCAACATCAGCAGCCACTCCAAGGTGAAAGTGGTTCTAAGTATCAGACATGTCTCTGAATTTTCATCTTATTCCAGACACTGGCTTTTAAGAAGTCTTTTGAAAACATACATTTTGACCTCAGTGACAACATCAATCCAAATTACTTAGTTATTACTAAAAGCCTCTTTTGAATTTTTAATTTCAATTAATTTTTATTTCTATATTCTGTATTTAGTTACCAAATTTGTTTAGTTACATTTAGTAATTTTTAAATTTAGTAATTTATCATTCCTTTTTTTCTTTACTCTCTTAGGTTTTTATACAACTTAAATATTTATTGTATATTCTCTGCCTAAAAGATTCAATATTTGAAATATTTTTGGATCTTATTCTATTGTTATTTCTGATGACTCTTGATCACATTGGTTTGTTTACTTTTGGATTTAGTAACTTTTAATGATGAACTTAAGTTTCTTTGAAAATTATTCAGGGATATCTCATTATATCTGTGCTTAAATTATATTATTGGATAGCTATTTTGATTTAATCCAGTACTTCTCTTTTATTAAACAGCAGGGTAACAACAACAATAACAAAATGCTTGCATTTAAACAGTTGTCTACAGATTTAATTATTTTCTTAGGACAAAATACAGTTCCTGGGGTTAGAGGGTTAAAGTAGTGAATATTACATTCCAATATGTTTTATCAAATTTATTCCATAAATGTCACTGCTGTTTATATTGTAGTAATATTTGGCCTTCATATTTTAAGGTGAATATTGAAACAATTATCTGAAAAAGTCACTAGGATGATAACCAGACTGAGATACAAACCCTATATAAAAAGATAAAATAAGAAATATATGTGTGTATTGAGTATGTGTATGTATTCACCTGATAATTTAACTTTATCAACGTTAAGTTAGGCAATAGATACTCCAAAATTGTGGTAGGTTCTGTTTCTATGTATTGATTAATTCATTTGCCTATTCACTCAACAGTATTTGCTGAGTGACTAATATAAGTCAGCAATAAACTAGCCATGAGGGATTCAGCAACAAGCCGTTATGGAACTCATAGCCTAATGGAGGAGACTTTAAATAAACAGGTTAAAAACAAAATATGGAAAAATAATGAAATATGGAAAAATTTCAAAATATAGAAAGTTGTATAAATGTTTTAGAAAAATGCAGTGATAGAAAGGGATGTCTTTTTGCTTATTTTTTTTTTAAATCGAGGGTTGTTAGGGAAAGTCTCACATTCAGTATTATTTAAGTGTGGGTAAGTGGTGTGTTAAGGGTAGAGACAGGGAAATCAACCCAGAGATAAAGTACAAACAACAACTCTGAATAAAATGCCTACATGCTGGCAAACTCCAGGAGAGAGTAATATGAGGCATTAATAAATTTTCAAAAGGAAAGTAGTGGCTAGATCAAGAAAAGCTCTATAGATCAAGGTAAGGCATTTGGATCTCACTTTCAGGGCAACAACAAAAAAAACACTTAAAGATATTTTTCAGCAGATTTGTCATGCAAGCTGATTTATATTTTTGAAAGTTTACAGTCCTCAGGAAGAATGGATTGTAGACCATCAACAATGGAAACAAGAAAACAATGGAGGAAATTATCGTACTAGTCTAATTGAGAAATAGTGATGGCTTAGAATGTGGAGCTTGTAGTAAGATTGACAGAGATGGATATATCAAGATACATTTTAGAGGTACAGATATACCCACTAGGGCTAGATGAAACACTGAATAAGAGAGTGATGGAAAGTATAGATTCTAAAGTGACTTTCAGTCTTCCAGTGTGAGCACCTGAATAAATAGTGGTTTAAATGAATAATATGGAAATAGGAAGAGAGGCACCTAGAATCCTGTACTTTAAACTCTGTTGACATAGTTTGTGCGTGTCTGACACAAGGTACCATGAGCTTCTGAGGGACAGGAACTTTCCTTTCTCCATCTTTGCATCCTTATTGCCCAGCACAATGACTAGCACAGAGAATATACCCAATCAGTATTTGCTGAATGAACTCATGAATGAATAATTAAGTGAAAAAAAAGATTGTCTTTTGTCTTTTTGTACTGGACAACTAGAAATAATGGCTCATAATTACAGGCAGACAGATTTCAATTCTATGTAAATATTGCCAGATAATTAGAACTCCACAAATGAAAGAGTCTGACTTTGGAATAACATGCCCTCTGATAACTAGAAATATTTAAGCAGAATTTTGTTGCAAATAAGACAGGTGTCTAATTTTGAAGAAGAATTGGAAATTAACTCAGGCAGAAAATATTAATTCTTCTAACCTCTCTATTTAATCCCTCTTTAAGTTCAGAATACCTTTCATTGTCCATACCTCTGAACAATGACATTTTATTTTCTGTTAATTGAGTTACTGAACTTATGTTAAAAGAATGTCTTGAAATACTACAGATAAAATTAAAATAACCACTTCCTCTTTTCAGATAAATAAAATGTAAGGTTTACAGTTTCTAATGTTTGCCCAGGGTACCAGGATGTCTGGCATATGTGATCATGACTGAGAAAGCATAAAGCACCTGGCTGTTTCTCCTGACGAGGTTCCCTTCTCATGCCTTACCAAGTAATATGGACATGGGAGGTTTTGTCAGAGGAGAAAGAACTGATAGAATCGGACTTGACTATTGGTTAGAATTTTTGAGTTTACGAAATCTTTTTTAAAGGTTCTATCTCTATTTTATATTTGATGCAAGACTCTACTAAAGTTCTATGTCATGGAGAAGGCAAAGGAGCCCCCACAATCTGATTCAGGAAAACAATTTCTTCTCTCATGTATTCTTATTTGTAAAACTTAGAGACCACAGCTATAAGAATAAATGGATCTTGGATGTCATAATAATTCTGACTCAAAGTCAGAGGGTTTTATTGGCCATGGGGTAGGGGACAGTACAGTGGGTGGATATCCAAGCTCTCCACTGACAATTTACCTAAAGCAGTCTGCTTTTACCAGTTTTACTACATTTCCCAATGCATTTATTTTGAAGAAAGGGATCTACAGCTGGAGACTCTCTCCACACCATTGGCCTAATTTCACTTAAGAGACATTTTACATGTTGAATGGACATTGGAGAAATATTCTATGGACATTTCTCACTATTTAATTTATCTAATTAATGAGGCAGGACACCCCTTCTATATCAACATCACATTGATGTTTGATTTGGATATATTTAATCTACAATATAACATGCAGAAGACAAGTTAGAAGTGGGTGTTCTTTAGCTCTTAGTAAATTGAATCAGGAATGTTTAAATTCCACATAAAAAGGGGGATCTCCATACATTCAATAATTAAAAGCCTAGCATACAAGCTGAAACTCTTCTACATCAAGAGTGTGAAATAAGTTCTTATTAATATGATGTTTTTGCAGCTATGTTACTTTGATTTAGTGAATTTGTATGACTGATGCTTTCTTTAGAACATCTAAACCTTCAAATTACTATAATCTAAATTTTTTGCAAATGTTCTTTTACATAATAGGATTTTGCTTAGTTTTTAATCCATATATCCAATTGTATAATATGAAAGGCATGAATAGACACAAGAAAAATAATGGAAACCAATAACATCTCTTTATACCCAGTCAACTACAAATTGCAGCATATTTTTGGTTAAGCTCCGATAATTACTTCTGCAGTGTGATTGAAAAAGTTTTCTCCCTTTCTTTTGTTATTGGTTACTTGTAATGCTTTTAAACTACCGTCTAATTTCATTTTGCTTCTATTTTTTACCTTTTCTCCTTTTCTCTCTGTTACCTCCTTCTTTACATTTTTCCATGAAAGTGACACGATTCTATAGGGATGTTTAGGAAGTGCTCCTTTTCTAAACTCTTACAGGTATGTCTCAAATTCAACACACTGTTCTCTTTGTAGAAAACTTCTATCATCAGTTATTATAAAAACAACTGTTAATGGAGATTAGAAAACTCTGAAGACTATTTTAATTATAGATTTCCCATAATGCCTAGTTCTCAAATGCCAGTTGCTTGAGAAGTAGAAAGACAACAATAACCATAATATCACTGAGCAGTATATACGGTGTACATCAGTAAATTATTTGATTAATGTATTCAGCATATGTGTATTAAGCACACTTCTTATGTCAGGTATTGTTTTAGATGTTAGGGATAGACCAGTGACCAGTCCCTACTTACTCAGACCTTACAATCTAATGAAGGAGGACAGAAAAAGAGGGAGAATAATGTAATTTCAGTTAAACGTAAATGTAATGAAGAAAATAAAGCAGGGTGTTGGTATGAAAGGTCAGAAGGAATTCAAGAACTACATTTGGTAGAATGGTTAAGGAAGTCTTTTCATACGGAGGTGACATTTGGGTCTTAAGTACCCACTGCCTGATTCCACTGGATCTATCACCACCACAGGTAAATCAGGAGAGTTTTTCAGTCTGGTAGGTAACTAATAGAGTCACTGTACAAATATGTAGATAGAAAAGAGAGGAGTCTAGCCATAATGACTGACAATTATTTTTGGGAAACTGTGCAGAGCCAATACACAAACCAATAAATTTTTTTTTAGCTGACCATAGAGTGTACTTACCTTGTATATTACACAAATATTTTCTCAACACAACACTTCAACCTTCCAGATTCATATTCCTGGAGAAGTGATGGAAAAAGAATTTTATCAGGAGAAGCAGCTTGCTGATTCATATCTGGCCCCTTAGTCATAACCAGATGGGTCACACATTGGTACCCCAGTCAAGAATAGGAAAACACACATCCTAGAGTTTATGGATCTGACAAGCAAAGACAGTCATTTTCTCCACTATTTGAAGACATTCTTTTAATATAAGTTTGCTAATCAAATTCAGGAAATAGTTTCAGAAAGTTGACAACATACTCTTTGCCATAATTTAAAGAGGTCTACCAAAAATCAATTCAGCCTTCCTTCCTTCCTTTTTTCCTTCCTTCCTTCTTTCCTTCCTTCCTTCTTCTCTCTCACCCTTCCTCCCTCTCTTTCTCCCTTCCTTCCTCCCTATCACTCTTTTCTTCCTTCCTTTCTTTCTCCCTCCCTCCCTGTCTCCCCTTTTCTATTTCTCTCCCTGCCTTCCTTCCTCCATCTCTTTTCTTTTTCTTTCTTTCCTTCCTTTCTTTTTCTTTCTTTCTTTCTTAGAAACATTTTTACAAATGAGCAAATTAGACTTATATTGGCATCACTTTGTTATAGTCAGCCTAAATATGTCTAGCTTTGGCTCATCTACTGATAACATCTTGCATTTTATTTTTATTTTTCTTAGCTTATTAATTGTGCAAATTCTTTTTTTTTTTTTTTTTTTTTGAGATGGAGTCTCGCTCTGTCTCCTAGGGTGGAGAGCAGTGGCACAATCTCGGCTCACTGCAAGCTCTGCCTCCCGGGTTCACTCCAGTCTCCTGCCTCAGCTTCCCGAATAGCTGGGACTACAGGTGCCCACCACCATGCTCGGCTAATTTTTCGTATTTTAGTAGAGACGGGGTTTCACCACGCTAGCCAGGATGGTCTCAATCTCCTCACCTCGTGATCCACCCACCTCGGCCTCCCAAAGTGCTGGGATTACAGGCGTGAGCTGCCACGCCCAGCCAATTGTGCAAATTCTTATTAAATTCTATTGATCTCCATGTTTGCACAATTGATATTTGAGCCAGTAAAGTTTAAGCAGATATTAATAATTTAAAGGAAGGCTATATTTAAGTTATAAGGAAAAAGCAAATATGTGTTAAAGAAAATATTGGTAATTTAATTGGGTTTATAAATAAAAAATTGCTGTCATTTCTCTTTTCTAATAATAGTTACTATTTTGCCTTTCAAGATGATAAGGTTTTTGGCTTTTTAATTTTTTTCTCAAAAACTTTATATGTGATATCTACACGCTACTGTCAAAAGATAACAAACTTCATAAGTACATGCTTAAAATTCTCATAAAAGTCACCTGTGTTAAGAATGTTTCATCTACCATGGCAAGAATCAAACTTCAGGAATTCTATGAAAGTGAATATATTTTTATATCAGTAAGTTAGAAGTAATGGCCATAATAACCAATCTAGATTCAGACTTTGTTGTACCAGTCCATCCTAGTTTTCTTCCTGAGACTATTTTCTGGCTCTGATAAAGCTTGTCCAACTAGAGGAGGTGGATTAGAACAACATTAGCTGTAAATCCTGGCTCTCTTTTTATTGTGTCTACTCATTTTTCAATTACAACTCTAGAAACAACACCTATAGAAAATATATCAAAATTGAGTTAAGTTGTGTGGTAAAGTTAAAACAAAAATCCAACCAGTCAGAATTCAGGATATCTGTGATGAATTCTAGACTCAGCCACTAACTAATTTGGTGACCTTGAACACAGTATTTATTTATTTGAAGAAGTCTCCATTTCCTCAGTTGTAAGACAAGGGTGTTGACCTAGATCTCTTACAAATACAGGATTCTGAATTTGTTATGAACTGAACTGTGTCCCCTCGAAGTTTATATGTTGAAGGCCGGGTGTGGTAGCTCACACTTGTAATCCCAGCACTTTGGGAGGCCAAGGTGGGTGGATCATCTGAGGTCAGCAGTTCAAGACCAGCCTGACCAACATGGCGAAACCCCGTCTCTACTAAAATTACAAAAATTAGCTGGGCGTGGTAGTGGGTGCCTGTAGTCCCAGATACTTGGGAGGCTGAGGGTTGAGGCAGGAGAATCACTTGAATCTGGGAGGCAGAGGTTGCAGTGAGCCGAGATTGAGCCATTGCACTCCAGCCTGGGCAACAAGAGCGAGACTCCTTCTCAAAAAAAACAAAGCAAAAAAAAAAAAAGGTGTATATGTTGAAGCCCTAACCTTTAGTACCTTAGGATGTAACTGTATTTGAAGACAGAGCCTTTACAGACTTGATTAAATTAAAATGAGGTTGTTAAGGCAGGCCACAATCCAATCTGAATAGTGTTCTTATAAGAGAAATTTGGACACGCAAAGACATACTAGAGGTACGCATGCACAGAGAGAAGACCATGTGAAGACGAGGCAACAAGGCAGCCATCTGTAAGACAAGGACAGGCCTCAGAAGAAACCAAACCTGTTAACATCTTTGATCTTGGACTTGCATTATGTACAAATTGCTTAATCACACATTTTTTTTTCTTTCTTATTACAGTAGTAGCCCAGGAATAAACAAATAACTATAAAGATATATAAGAAAGAATTTAAGTTTGTTATTGGAAATGTCTGCAGCAGAAAGTCAAACATGGAGCAACAATATGCACATGCTAGATCCAGTGCTTTGGTTTATTTAAGACTCGTTTTAGGACTAAGACATTTGTGATATTTGGCATCCTGAGTTGTGGTACCCTATGACATCTATTATTTTAGGAGTTATAGTCAGAGATGTTCCAGTATTACATAAATTCTCTTTTATTTTCTCTGTAAAGGATTTATGATAGAGCTATTATATATGTATGTCCTTATAGCTAATCATCTCCCCAGAATCCCTCATTAGAGTGCAATCTGCTAAGCTTTCAGACCAGATCTGGTCTAACCTGAAGTATCTGCAGTGAGTGTTGTTTATCACTAGACAAAATGTAGACTTTCATACTAACTTATAACAGAACACACCAATTTTTTTTCCTTCATGGTTGGTTTTTCATTCACAGTTTATGATTTGTGGCTTTAAGATGCAAACGAGTTTTCTAGTTCAATTCATTAGCATGCCAAAAGACTGTATCATAGTTTAAAAGCACTTCAGCTGTTTCCTAATATTCTTCTTCTCAAAGAACTTTCAGACATATTCAACAATCTGCAAACCTTAAAATTTATCGTAAGTCAACAGGTATTGAATCTGCCAATAAGAAGTCAATGTTAGACAAATGTCTCACAGTACAGTTACAGAATTTCAGTATTAATAGAGTAATGGAACTGAATGATCTACCTAAACGATATTCAATAAATTTGATAGTCTTGTACACCTGATTATTAATTTTTCATGTTAACTATTATTTTCCCTGGAGATACAATATGCATAAAATTATTATTGTTGTTATTAAATTATTTTTGATTCAAAATAAAGCCTTTCTACTCAAAGTTTTTCCACGTACTGTGAGCATCAATATAACTGGGATAAACTTAAAATCATAGGCACCACCTCCAATTATCTGAATTAGAATCTTCATTTCAATAAGGTTCCCAAGCACCTAGTCTGCACCTTCATGTTTGAGAGATACTGAACAAAAGAATTTAGTCTTGGTCTTTAATATGTAGTTCTGAAATGTTTGTTATAGACATTTTAACACAAATGTATTAAACAATGGGAAAACTTTTAAGAAAAATAATTTAGACATTGATGTTAAAACAAAAAGGAGATAACTATTTGAGTTGAATTCATTGCAAGATCTAATATAAAAACAGATTTTAATCTAATTTAAATTACAATATTGCATGCTATTACTATAAGACAAAAAGCAAAGTTTATTTGGTAAAATTAAGGAAAGCAAAAAATTATTTCTCTGCCCCTCACCAACCTGTCTTTCTCTCTCTTTCACATATACGCGTATGCACACGCACACACTTCATGTACACAAACAAAAGGAAATTCCTGGTCAATATGCTAAACCATTGTGATGGTCCTATCCTCCTCTTATATCATTTAACATCTATCCTTCTATAACATTAAAACTTGATCTCTTTTAAAAAATGTTGTAAAGTTAAAAATGTCATATAGCCTCTTTAGTAGCTACATTTATCATAGTACTTTTTTTTTTCCACTTTCAGGATTGACATATCATAAGTTAAAGTACTGAACATATTTCAGCTTTGCAAGTATGAGGAAGGAGGTGAAAATGGGTTAGAGCTACTATTTATACTACGAATGAATGGAACATTCTTCATCGTTTTCCTGGAAAGTCAAATTCTTCGTTATGAGTGGGTGCTTTTTGCTTTGAGGTTCTTTTCTTTTTTTATAACGAAAAGAAAATAAAATCTCACAACTTTTCAATCTTACAAACTCTCTCTCCCTTATGCACACAAACACCACACACACAGATACACCCTTCAGAAAATTATCAGTAAACCAACCGTACTTCCAGTTGGAATTTAGATTCACAATGTAGCACTGTGATATGTCTGTGGTTAATTTTAACACAAATAAGATAGGGCAAAACTAAATGTGCTAGCATTATAACACTTTTGCCACTTTGCTTTGTGAGAGCGACTGTGTTGTGTGGCTAGTCTCTGACACTGAAAAGCTCTGACCTGTCATGTTGTCATTATGAACATTTAGGGGAGGAAAGAACCGCAGTCAATCAAGGAAGAAAAAAAGTTAAACAGGCAAATTGGGCACAACTGTGATTCAGCAGCCAATCGAAGTGGCTGATTATCGTTTGCCTTCCTACTTAAACTTGCAGCTGTGCTTAGGGGAAAAGGAAGGAAGGAGTGGGTGAAACCACTATGAATATGAGGTTGAATAGACTGCTTTTGAAATTGAGCTTTATTCTCCACCTGTGTTGTAAGTACTACTAGCTGTCAATTATTTTAGCAAGTAATTTTCATAATTTTTTTCACCTTCTGACATCAGATTTATAGATCTTAGTAACTGACTATAAACCCTTTAGATACCTGCAAAATGGCCCCTGCAAAATGACTATAAACCCTTTAGATACCTGCAAAATCTATCCCAACAATCAGAATCCTTCTTCTTCAGAATAAACTTACTGAGTGAAAAGAAGGTAGAAACACAATTATCTGAGTAATGAGTACAGAAAAACTTGCAGTGAATAAGTATACCAAACTTGAGGAATTTTTATACACAACAATGCGTAACTATATGGCATTTTGTAATTTGAAGAGAGCACCATATTTATTTTAAAAACAAGACTTTCATTTTACAAATTAATTAACAAATTATTTTATAAAATTTAGAATTTCAAAATCTAGAAAAATATCTACTATATTAAATTTTAGGGTTACTTGGTTATCAAACTTGGGAAGAGAGGCAAATGTGTACATGGCATGTCTAGGAAGCTCCAATTTGTCATGGAAAGCCATATATCCTGTTTTGAAGTAACTGATAGAAGAAACAAAGTGTGTTTAGAGGCAGTGTCTGTGACTTCACATGGGTATTGTATGTCATCCTTCCAGCCCAAAACATTCTGACAAATACTATTTTGCAATCTCTTCTTAAACACTGCAATGAAAAAAGTCAGTGGCTTTCAAACTTGCAAAGTCCCAGATTCAATTAAAAATAAAACAGAGTAGTTCCCTAGAGCTAAGAAGTGTTTAAACAACAACAAAGAAAGAAACTACCCAAGGAATAAAAATTAGAATATGGAAACCCTGCTAGGAAAAAGAAAAAAAAAATGTTTAAAATGTCTACCTCAAATAGGTTACTTGAGGAAACTAGTTTCTTCTTATAGCCATTTATTTGAGTCTGCAACCATTTCTAGAAGGGATACAGAAAGGATATTGGATAATGACTGACACAGCTTTTCTTTCTAATTCTCTCTAATTCTGATTATTTTCTTTCTAATTCATTTAACTTCACGCCATAATTTTACTGTGTATAAAATGGGAATGCAAGTAAACTTCTGGCAATGGAAAAAAAACTTGGATTTATTTTTCTTTCTTATTCATATGTACTTCCTAAATTAGATGATACAGTTTTATGACTTTATATATCTTGTATTCTAATTACTCCCAAATGTACACCTTAAATAACATCTCTCCTCTCAACTCCGTATTTGATGTCTGACTTAATGCCTAATAGATGTCTCAAATTAGCATATAAAATGTATTCTTGTGATTTTAGTGTTCCTAGCCCACTCAGTGTACCAACAAACAGTAAACAGACCTCCTACTGCTGACACCATATTTGACTACTCTTTTTTTCCTCATATCTCACATGGCAGAGATGACCTACTTTCCACTAATAATTCATTTTTCACTTTTGCATAGCAGAGTTGTTATAGCAAAGTGGCTGCCTAAAGAGTCACCATATTTCCTATTCTCCTTGCATAAAACTTGGAGCACAGCAGCTGGTTTTCATTAGATAAAAGTTAATAGAAGTGATACATTAGCTTTCTTGGGCAAAGTGCTTAAGAAGTGAGTGCACCTTCTTCATCCTTTTTTTTTCCCATCAGCCAGCTGGATGTCAATGCCTGGGAAACCATGAAACCCACATAATGTTTGCAGGTTCTCAATCAGACTGGCTCCATAAATGACTGCGTGAAAAGTACCCCCCACCCAAAAAAACATACAGAGGCCAAAAACAGCCACATTAGTCTGTCAGAGGCAAAACAAAACTTTAGTTTTTAAGCCACTGACAAAATGAAGCATGTTTGTTATAATAACTAGTGTCATACCATATGCTGTATAATTCTGCTTATGTGAAATGTCTAAAGTAGGCAACCCTATAGAGACAGAAAGTAGATTAGTATTGCCTAGTGCTAGGAGACTAGGAGTTGGGAGAAAGTAGAGTGACTGCCAAGGGGTACATGGTTTCTTTTTGGAGCAAAGAAAGTATTCTAAATTTAGAGTGTGGCAATGATGGCACATCTCTGTGAACATACTAAGGACCAATGAATTGTATACTTTAAGGAGGTGGATTTTATGGTATGTTAATTATATTTTAATAAAGCTGTAATTTTTAAAAATGCAAAAAAATAACTAGTATCATAATAACCAACATACTTACTATCTAACCCAACATCAAATATCCTTCAAAATATATCCCAAATCCAGACATCTCTCTCTTCTAGTGCCACCACAAGAGAGCAAGGCACCACCACTTTTTTTCCTAAATTATGGTAATAGCCTACTAACTGGTCTCTTTGTTTTGACTCTTATCTGCCTTTATCTTGTAAGTATCCAGTAGCTAAAGTGATTCTTTTAAAAATGAAATCTACTCATATAACTTCCCTGCTTAAAATAGTTCAATGGATTTCTAGTACATTTTGAATTAAACCAATTAAAAAATTGGCAAAATATCTGAGTAGACACCCCATCAGAGAAGATATACAGGTGGCAAATAAACACACTAAAAGATGTTTAACATCATATGTCATGAGGGAATTTCAAATTAATACAACAATGAGATACCACTACACACTTATTAGAATGGCTAAAATCCAGAAGATTGACAACACCAAATGCTGACAAGGATGTAGAGTAACATCAATTCCCATTCGTCGCTGATGGGAATGCAAAATGGTAAACCCACTTAGGATGACAGTTTGGCAGTTTCTTACAAAAGTAAACTTACTTTTAACATATGATTCAGCAATTGTATTTCTTGATACTTACCCAGATGAATTGAAAACCCATGTCTGCACAAAAACATGCATATGGATATTTATAACAGCTTTATTCATAATTGCCAAAACTTGGAAGCAACATGGAGGTCCTTCAATAGGTAAACAGGTAAACAAACTGTAGTACATTTATACAATGAAGCATTAAAATGAAATTAGTATAAAGAAGCACCATGATGGCTGACTAGAAGCAGCTAGTGTGTGCCACTATTACAGAGAGGAGAGAGTGGCAAGTAAACACTAGGTCTTGAAGTGGGTTATCCATGAGGCCACATTGGGATTCACCAAGGAAGCAACAGTGACCCATGGGGAGCAGAGGGCAGCCAGGCAGTACAGCCACCTACCTGGGACTGCCTCAGAGCCAGAGTAGGCTCCCTACCTGGAGAAAGGGTGAGTGAGTGACAGCCCCAAGGAACTCAAACTTCTTCCATGAATGTTTGCCATCCTGGGCATATGAGATCTCTCCTGACCCACCCCCCACCCACAGACCTACATGGAGTCTGAGCAGAGCTGCTGCTCAGGCCCATGTGGAGCCCAACAGGCCTTGGATCCTTGGGCACCCCAGCACCAGCTGCCACAGATCTACCAACAAGGGAGCCCAGGCTGTACTGTGTGCCCCTAGGTTAGGGGCCATGTACATGGTGCTGAGGGACCAAAGGACTGCAGACCCAACCTCACCAGGCAAAGCCCACCAGACTGGGACACCAGCACAGCCACCTCACCCACACCTGAGTACTCCAGTCAGCTGCAGCTCTGCATTTCTCTGGGATAAAGCTCCCAGAGGTAACCAATAGGTCTGCCTACAGTTTCCACCCCTGCTTCCCTTAGGCTGGAGGAGTGAAGAGCCTCAAAACTGTCACAGGCCTCCAGCACACCATAGCTACCTTGTATAACAGTGGCCAGACTGTTTTCCATGCCATCCCTGCCCCTGCTACTCCTCACTGGGCAGGGCTCCTGGCCTGGGCCCTCAACACAGCTGCCTTACCCTCACCTGATCACTTCAGTTAGTGGTGGCTCTGCATTTCTCTCGAGTGGAGCTCCCAGACAAATGACAGGCTTTCTGCCACTGCCACCACAGCAGTACCCACCCTTGCATCCCCCAGGCTGGGAAAGAAACAAAGTCCCTGATGGCTTTTGCATGCCTACAGCACACAGCAGCTAATCTACAGAGAGGAGGACAGACTGTCTTCCTTGTGAGCCTCGAACACCCCTGCTTTTCACTAGGCAGGGCCTTGGCTTGGGCTGCAGGGTAGCTGTCCCAGCACCAGCTGAACATTTCCATTGGCAGCAATTTTGTGTGTCTCCAGGGTGGTCTCCAGAGGCAACTGACAGCCTCTCTGCTACTGCCCACAGCGGTAGCTGCCCTCGCTGCACTCTCACCCGGTGGTTCTGCCCCGATGGGGCAGAGAACAGAGCCTGAGAGCTTACCTTGCCCCTCCAACATGCTGCAGCCACCAAACAGAGAAAAGGTCAGAGTGTCTTCCTGGCTCTTTGCCAATCAGAGACCCTGCTGTGGGCCCAGAGTGCAGCCACCCTACCCCGGATGATCATTTTCATGGGCAAGGGTTCTCTGTTTCTCTGAGGTGGAGCTCCCAGAAACAATGACAGGGCCTCTGCCATTGCCACTGCTAAGGTCCCCACCCTTGGTGCTCCTGAGCCGGGAAAGGAACAAAAAGCCTGAGCTTTCCCCAGGGCTGCAGTAAGGAGCTTAGGAGTGTTAAGCCAAAATCTGTGGATAACACTTAAACAGAAGAGCCCAAGCTCTCAGAGCACTTAGAGGGGTGAGTCACGTGGGTTCCTGGGCTGCTGTGGAGAGCAGGGCCTGCCTTCCTCCACAGGGCCAGCCTAGAAAAGGTGTGGCCTGTCTCACTGCCATGGCCTCTGCCTGAGGGAGCCGTGCAGCCCAGAACACCTAATTAAAAAAACGAGGGCCCAGTGCCACTGATCAGAAGGGGCACTCTCAAGTCTCAAGAGCAAACCTGGTGGAGGGGTCACCTCTCTCACTGCATCATAAAGCATGGCTACAAACACGAGGAAATAAAAAGGAGCCACCTGGCTGAGTAAGAGCCTATCTTCTGGCCATTACTCTTAAGTGCTATCTATCTACTAGATTGCAGCCCAAAGTAGAACACCAAAAATACTTTGCTACTTTGTCCTGCTGTGAAACCAAGGACAGTATTCTAGCCAAAAATAAAGATCCTGCACAGAGCCTTGGCCCTCTGAAAACATCCAGAAATGAATCCAAGTGACTATACTCAAATTACACCATAGTTAAAGAAACACTAATCTTCCCATGTGAGAAAGAACCATAGCAAGAACTCTAACAATTTGAAAAGCCAGAGCGCACTCTTACATCCAAACAAATCAACCAGCTCCCCAGCAATGGTTCTTAGTCACTTAGAAATGAAAAAATGACGGACATAGAATAAAGAATTTGGATAGCAAAGAAACTCATTGAGATTCAAAGGAAAGTTGAAATCCAATCCAAGGGATCCAAAAAATTCAATGAAACAATCCAAGAGCTGGAAAATAAAATTGCCACTTTAAAAAAGAACCAAACTGAACTTCTAGAGTTAAAAAATTCACTACAAGAATTTCATAATATAACTGAAAGTATTAACAGCAGAATAGACCAAATTGAGGAAAGAATCTCTGAGCCCAAAGACCAATCTTCAAATAAACTCAATCAGGCAAAAATAAAGAAAAAAGAATTTTAAGAAACTAAAAAAAAACCCCTGAGAAATGTGAGATTATGTAAAGAGAAAAACAATCTACGACTCATCAGCACACCTGAGAGAGGAAAGACAGAATAAACAACTTGGGAAATATATTTGATAAGATAGTCTATTATGGTTTCCCTAATCTCAAAGGAGCAGTTGATGTACAAATTCAAGAAATGCAGAGACCCTGAGTAGATACAATCCAAAATGATTCCCAAAGCACATAGTCATCAACTTCACCTAGGTCAATGCAAAAGAGTAAGTCTTAAAGGCAGCTACAGAGAAGGGCCAAGTCATGTACAGAGGCAACCCCAACAGGCTAGCAGCAGACCTGTCAGCGGAAACCTTAACAAGCCAGAAGAAACTGGGGGCCTATTTTCAGCATCCTTAAAGAAAAAGAAATTTCAACCAAGAATCTCATATTCTGTCAAGCTATGGTTCATAAGTGAAACAGAAACAAAATCTTTATCACACAACCAAAGCTAAGGGAATGCATATCAACTAAGCCCTTAAGGGAATGCTAAACATGGAAACAAAAGACTGACATCTGCTACCACAAAAACACACTTAAGCACAGAGCTCACAGGAACTATAAAGCAATTACACAATTGAGTCTACATAACAACCAGCTAACAACACAGCAACAGGATCAAAAATCTCATATATCAATATCAGTACTAACCCTGAATGTAAATGGGCTAAATGCCCCTTTTAAAAGACATAAAGTGACAATATGGATAAAAAGATAAGACCCAACTGTCTGCTGGTTGCAAAAGACCCAACTAACATGTAGCAACACCAACAGGTTCAAAGCAGATGGAGTCAGATCTGTCACGCAAATGGAAAACAAAAAAATAGCACGAATCTGTATTTTTATATCAGATAAAATGAATTTTAAACCTATAACAAGAAGAAGAAAGAAGGACATTGCATAATGATAAAGAGTACAATCCAACAAGAGGACTTAACTATCTATCCTAAATTTATATGCACCCAACACTGGAGCACCTAGATTTATAAAGCAAGTGCTTTTGAACTAGGAAATGTCTTAGCCAAATGATAATAGTAGAGGACTTCAACACATCACTGACAGCATTAGACAGATCATTGAGGAGAAAAGCTAACAAACTCTGGATTTAAACTTTACACTTTACCAATTAAACCTAATAGATACCTACAGAACACTCTACCCATCAACCACCAAATATACATTCTTCTCATCTGCACATGGAACATAATCTAAAATTGACCGCATGCTCAGTGATAAAGCAAGTATATAAATGCAAAGAATTCAAAAGCATTCCAAGCACACTCTTGGACAGCAGTGCAGTAAAAATAGAAATCAATATCAAGATCTCTCAAAAGTACACATGGAAATTAAACAACTGACTCCTGGAATAATTCCTGGGTAAATATTGACATTAAGGCAAAAGTAAAAAAAATTCTTTGAATTAAATAAAAATAGAGACAAAACTTAACAAAATCTCTGGGATACAGGTAAAGCAGTGTAAAGAGTAAAGTTCACAGTGGTAAATGCCTTCATCAAAAACTTAGAAAGATTTCAAATTAATCTAACTCTGAACCTAAAAGAACCAGGAAAAAAATAACAAACCAACCTAAAAGCCAGTCAAAGAAAAGAAATGACTAAAATTAGAGAAGTGAATAAAATTGAGATGCAAAAAAATTCATAAAAAAATCAAAGAAACCAACAGTCAATTCTTTAAAAACAAAAATGTTTGATAAATGGCTAGCTAAATTAATAAAAAAAGAAAAGATCCAAATAAGTACAATCAGAAATGATAAAGATGACACTACAGCTGATCCCACAGGAATACAAAAGATCTTCAGAGAATATTATGAACTACTCTATGTACATAAATTAGAAAATCTAGAGAAAATAGATAAATTCTGAGAAATATACAATCTCCCCAGACTGAATCAGAAACAGACTGAAACCCTGAATATACCAATATTGAGATCTGAAATTGAATCTGATATATAAAAAATCTACGAACCATAAAAGCCCTGGAGCAGATGATTCACAGCTGAATTTTACCAGATGTGCAAAGAAGACCTGGTACCAATCTTATTGAAAGTATTCCAAAAAATTCAGGAAGAAGGGCTCCTCCTAACTCATTCTATGAAGCCAGCATCTGCCTAATAACCCAAATCTGCCAGACACACAATGAAAAATGAAAACTTCAGGTGAATATCCCTAATGAACCTAGATGTAAAAATACTCGACGAAATACTAGCAAACTAAATATAGCAACACTAAATCTAGCAAAAAAATTAGCACACCACAATCAAGTAGGCTTTATTCCTGGAATGCGAGGTTGGTTCAACATATGCAAATCAATAAATGTGATTCACCACATCAACAGAATTAAAAATAAGAACCACATAATCATCACAATATATGCAGAAAATTAATCTGATAAAATCCAACATCCATTCATGATAAAAACCCTCAATAAACTAGCATTGAAGGACCATACCTCAAAATAATAAAAGCCATCTATAAAACTCCAACAGTCAACAACATACTGAACGGGCAAAGGCTGGAACCATTTCTATTAGGAACTAGAATAAGACAAGGATGCTCACTCTCACCACTCCTGTTCAACTTAGTTCTTGAAGCTGTAGTCAAAGCAATCATGCAAGAGAAAGAAAGAAAACACATTCCAATAGAAGAAGCCTGACTGTCCCTCTGTGATGATGATATTATTTTATACCTAGAAATCCCTATAGACTCCATCAAAAGTCTACTACAACTGATAAATGACTTTAGCAAAAGTTTCACAATATAAAATCAATGTACAAAAATTAGTAGCATTTCTATACGCCAATAATGTCCAGATTGAGAGTAAAATCAATAATGAAATCCCATTTACAACAGCCACAAAGAAAATGAAATACCTAGAAATTCAGCTAACCAAAGAGATGAAAGATCTCTATAAGGAAAACTACCAAACACTGCCTAAGTAAATCAGAGAAGACACAAATAAATGGAAAAACATTCCATAATCACGTATTGGAGGAATCAATATCATTAAAATGGCCATAATGCTCCAAGCAATTTACAGATTCAATATTGTTCCTATCTATTTACCAATGTCATTCTTCATAGTTAGAAAATAGCTATTCTAAAATTCATACGGAAGCAAAAATAACCTGAAAAGACAAAGCAATCCTAAGCAAAAAGAACAAAGTGGAGTCATCACACTACCTGACTTCAAACTAAACTCTAAGGATATAGTAATGAAAACAGCATGGTACTGGTACAAAGATAGACACATAGGAAAATGGAACAGAATAGAAAACTCAGAAATAAAGCTGCACACCTACAGCCATCCGATTTCCAGCAAGGCCAACAAATAGAAGCAATGAGTAAAGGACTCCCTGTTCAATAAATGTTGCTAGGATAACTGGCTAGCCATATGCAGAAGAAGGAAACTGGACCCTTACCTTTCACCATATACAAAAATTAAGATGAATTAAAGATTTAAATTTAAGAATTCAAACTATCACCTTTCTAGAATAAAACCTAGGAAATACCGTTTTCATCATCAGCCTTGGCAAAATTTTTGGCTAAATCCCCTAAAACAATTGCAACAAAAGCAAAAATTGACAAATGTGACCTAATCAAACTAAAGAGCTTGTGCACAGTGAAAGAAGCTATCAATAGAGTGTATGGATAACCTACAGAATGGGAGAAAACATTTGCAAACTATGCATCTGACAAAGGGCTAATATCCAGAATCTATCAGGAACTCAAACAACTCAACAAGCAAAAACCAAATAATCCCATTAATAAAAGGGAAAAGGACATGAACACACACTTTTCAAAAGAAATAGAAGTAGCCAACAAATATTTAAACAAGTGTTCATCATCAGTAATTATCAGAAAAATGCAAATTATAACCCACAATGAGATATAATCTCATACCAGCCAGAATGGCTGTTACTAAAAAGTCAAAAAACAACAGATGCTGACAAAGATGCAGAGAACAGAGAACCCTTATACACTGTTGGGGGAATGTAAATTTATTCAGCCACTGTGGAAAGTAGTTTGGAGATTTTGCAAAGAACTCCAAACAGTGCTACCATTTGACCAGCAATCACATTACCCAGTATAATACCCAAAGGAAAACAGATCAGAATACCAAAAAGACAGATGTACTCATATGTTTATCATCACACTAGTCACAACAGTAAAGACATATAATCAGCCTAGGTACTCATCAGTGGTAAACTGGATAAAGAAAATGTGGATGGTAAATCGTAAACTGGATAAAGAAAACATACACCACGGAATACTGTGTTACTGAAAAAAAAAAAAAAAAATCATGTCCTTTGCATCAATGTGTTTGTAGCTGGAGGCATAAACCTAAGTTAATTAATTCAGGAGCAGAAAACCAAATAGCACATGTCTCACTTATAACTGGGAGCTAAATACTGAGCACACATAGATATAATGATGGCAACAATAGACATTGAGGACTACTAGAAGGGGGAGGAAGGAAAGGGGGTGTGGAATGAAAAACTACCTATTGGGTACTATGCTCACTACCTGGGTGCAATATACCCATGTAACAAGCCTGCATAAATACTTCCAGAATCTAGAATACAAGCTGCCAAAAAAAGAGAAAGGAACTATCAAGCCACTAAATAATATATAGGAACTTTAAATGCATATTACTATGTGAAATAGGCCAATCTGAAGAGACTACATAATGTATGATTCCAAGTAAATGATGTTCCATAAAAGAGAAAATCAGAAAGATCCAAAAAAAATCAATAGTTAACAAGGGTTTGAAAGGGAAGAAGGAATAAACAGGTGGAACACAGGGTATTTTTAGGGCAGTGAAACTACTGTATATGATACTATGATGGAGGACACATGTCATCATAGGTTTGTCAAAAATCTATAGAAATTATAACGCAAAGACTGAAACAGCATAAACTATGGATGTTAGTTAATACTAATGTATCAACATTGTTTCACCAATTACACAAATGTGCAACTCTCATTCAAGATGTTAATAATAGAAGAAACTGGAGGCAGGAGCAGAAGATGGTGCAGAGGTATGTGAGAATTCTGTGTGCTTTCAACTCAGTTCTTCTGTAATCTAAAATGACTTCAAAAAATAAAGTATATTAATTTAAAAATATATACATATCATGTCACCTTTATAAAAACAGACTTATTTTAAAATAGAATAAGCTTTGGTGTAAAACATAGATGATATATTTTCCTATTACAAAGCTGTACAGTAGGCTATTTAAATATTCTTAAATGGACTGTACTCATCTTTATAAATGAGATCAAATTTTGAAAACAAATTTGGGCTAAAAGTTTTTGTAATGAAAAATAAATGTAGTAAAATAAATGTGTCTAAAATTAGCAAAATTTTAAAATAACTATCTTGTACCATTAACACTAAAATTCTGCTTTACTCTCACATCTGTAATTTTATTCTAAATTAGTCCTCCATTTCTTGGGAAACCAAGTAAGTCAGTCAGCACATAAATAGCAGCTACCTTCTTTTGCTTTGTGTTTGTTTTGTATATTATATTCATTTAATTTTGTTTATTATATCTGTAATCGAAGAGTAAAATAGCAAAGTATGATCATCTCTGTATTTTATCCAAATGCGTTAAATTAATTTAAGGCAGAACACTACTTGTTTTTCTTCACAATATTGTCAATCTTAATCAGATAATCAAACATAGTATAAAACAGATAACCAGAAAAAAAATAAGAATTAATTGAATTCACAGCATAAAGAAAAATATTTTAACAGTCCATCAATTTTCTCTTAGAAGTTTTGAGACATCATTCCCAGAACCTGACAAATTAAGTAGGAAAAAAATAATGAATCTATAAAAATCAGTATATGTCTTATTATCTTATTTTTAGATATTTTCCTCAAAGTTTCTGGTGATCTCTGAATGGCCCTTCCCATATGATAAGGAGGCTCCAGAGACATGATTGCCATTTCACCTGCATGAGTGAAACTGATTGCCTCGGAAATGCTGGTGATCTCAGAGTCCAAAGGAGAAAATATGTGATCTCACCTTTCATCAAGCAGATTTCCACTTATCCCATCAGTTTCAGTAAGGCATAAGACATCCCCACAAACTCAGCCTCCTGTCACTTAATTCCCAGGCAGTCTGATTCAACGTCTTCAGAGAGTAAACGCCATGGATCCTCTTAGACTGAGGAGAGAATAATTTCCTGGCTGCGTTGTGTGGTGATGGTTATCCAAAGCCCAACCAACTTCTCATGTATTGCTTTAACCAATTCTTCAATTCCAGCAGTGCTTCTCTTTCCTCACTTCAATCATTCACCAGCCACAAGAGGAATCTCATGCTTTTGATTTTAGAGCCTTTCCTCAACTCTGCAACACAAATGGTTTTGTGTCTTGGCTTTTCCAATCTTTCACTCCTATTTACTGCTGTCCGGTTGAAAGTTCTCATTAGCCACCACTTTTTCTTGTAGTCTACATATCCTTTCTTCTGGATCAATAATGTAAAATAAATCTCTTTGTTGGACAGTTAGAATCAAGTAAATGTTTGTGTTTAATATATGATGTTTACACAGAAGTCTTATATAGTAGATTTGAATCTATATACATATTTGAATAAATAAGTATATAAATATTATGACGAGGAGACATAAACACTATTTGCAAATATCATAGAACAAATACTCTACTGATTATGTACACTTGCAAAGAAAACTTTGAAAAATTATCCAAATATATTAGTTTGCAGGAAATTAAATTGTTGGTAGTTTATCATACTGGAAATTTAGAAATGGCAAACACATACACAGGCTACAATGTTTGACTATAATATAAAAGCACAAAGATTTTTAAATGACAGTTCAAAACATTTAACCCCAGACATTTAAAACCACTGATCTCGAGCTCTCACCATGTACAAAAATTAACACAAGATGGGATTTAAAGGCTTAAACTTAAGACCTGAAACTTTGAAAACCCTAGAAGAAAACCTAGGAAAAACTCTTCTGGACACTAGCCTTGGTAAAGAATTTATCACTAAGTAATCAAAAGCAAATATAGTAAAAACAAAAATAAACAAATGAAACAATTAAACTAAGAAGCTTCTGTGCAGCAAAAGAAACAATCAACAGAGAAAACAACCTATGAAATTGGAAAAAATATTTGCAAATGATGCATCCAACAAAGGGCTAATATTCAGAATTTTCAAGGAACTCAAACAACTCAAACTCAAACAACTTTGCCCATTAAAAAGTGGGCAAAGGACATGAACAGACATATTTTAAAAGAAGACATGCAAGTGGCCAGAAAACATATAAAAATACTAATATCACTAATCATCAGAGAAATGAAAATTAAAACCACAATGAGATACCATCTCACACCAGTCAGAATGGCTACTATTAAAAAGTTGTAAAACAACTGATGGGCTGGGCGCGGTGGCTCACGCCTGTAATCCCAGCACTTTGGGAGGCCGAGGCGGGCGGATCACAAGGTCAGGAGATCGAGACCATCTTGGCTAACACGGTGAAACCCCGTCTCTACTAAAAATACAAAAAATTAGCCGGGCGCAGTGGCGGGCGCCTGTAGTCCCAGCTACTCGGGAGGCTGAGGCAGGAGAATGGCGTGAACCTGGGAGGCGGAGCTTGCAGTGAGCCAAGATTGTGCCACTGCAATCCGGCCTGGGCTAAAGAGCGGGACTCCGTCTCAAAAAAAAAAAAAAAAAAAAAAAAACAACTGATGTTGGCGAGGATGTAGAGAAAAGGGAATACTCACACACCATTGATGGGAATGTAAACTATAGTAAAGCCTTTATGGAAAACAGTAGGAAGATTTCTGAAAGAATCAAAAATAGAACTGCCATTCAATCCAGCAATCCCACTATTGAGTACATGCACAAACAGAAAGAAATCATTGTATCAAAAAGATACCTGCAATTGTATGTTTATCACAGCTCTATTCACATTAGTGAAGATATGGAATCAAACTGTCCATCAGTGGATGACTGAATAAAGAAAATGTTGTGTGTGTGTGTATACATACACATTGCATTTGTATACGTGTGTGTATATATATATACACATGTGAGTAGTATTTTATGTTTGTATACATATATACACACACATCCTGCATCTCTATATAAGCATCTATATATACACACTCTGTATATACACACACACGCACAATATAAACTACTACTCTGCCATAAAAAAAGAATAAAATAATGTATTTTGCAGCTATGTTGTAGATGGAACTGGAGGCTATTATCCTAAGTTGAATAATTTGGAAACAGAAAGAAAAATGTCTCAAGTTCTCACTTTTAAGTGGGAACTAAATAATAGGTACACACAGACATACAGAGTAGAAAAATAGACATTGAAGACTACAAAAGGTGAGAAGGTGGAAGGAGGATAAGAGCTGAAAAACTATCCTTTGGGTACACTGAAAGCTTTGACTTCACACCATGCAATATATGTGAGAAAGCTGCGCTTGTACCCCCCAAATTATATTTTTTAAATCAAAAATTAAAATACAAAAATAATTAAGAATAAAAATGAAATTAATAGTCAACAATAACTCAATTTTATACTTTATATGTGTAACTCCCAACTTTAATCTGAGCTCCAGAATCCCATTCGTAAAGGTCTGCTCAGTATTGCTCCCTTGATCCTTGGCAACACCTGTAATTCCGTATGTCCATCAGTAAGCTCATTATCTTCTCTTTAAAAACATGCTGCTCTTGGCGGGCACGGTGGCTCATGCCTGTAATCCCAGCACTTTGGGAGGTGAGGAGGGCAGATCATGAGGTCAGGAGATCAAGACCATCCTGGCTAACACAGTGAAACCCCATCTCTACTAAAAATACAAAAAAAATTGCCAGGCGTGGTGGCAAGTGCCTGTAGTCCCAGCTACTCGGGAGGCAGAGGCAGGAGAATCACTTGAACCTGGGAGGTGGAGGTTGCAGTGAGCCAAGATCATGCCACTGCACTCCAGCCTGGGCGACAGAGCAAGACTCTATCAAAAGAAAAAAAAAAAATGCTGCTCTTATTATAAACTTCCATGGTGAGGTCCTGAGAAACTTTTCATGTTCTCAAGTTGAAAGCTTCTAATTATCTTCAAATTTTCATTTTCTTCATGTTTTGAGACCGAATTATTAAGCACAGGTGCCTCACTCTACAACTAAGATATCTCTTGAATGTGAGTTCTTATCACATTTTACGTAAATTATTGCAAAACACAGCTGCCTTTAGTTTTTTTCTCTTCTCCCAAAAGGCCTCAATAAAACAGAGATGATTTTTTCATCTCCATTTAAAAACAAAAGAAAAAAACATTTTTGGAGAAAAGTCATACATACATACATACACACACACACACACACACACACACACGCACACATACACTATTTCATGAATTTCTAGTATTCATTCCTAACTCTATAAATATCCTATAGAATCATTTACAATGTAACTCTGACTTCTAATTTTAAAGTGTATTATTCTTTGATTCTACCCTTTTATAGACTCTCAGGGATCTTTGGCATGCACACCAGGCTGTAGTAAAACAAGACTAACTCCATTGTCAGTGTACTGGAATATCTCTCCCTTTCCCTTACTTGCTCTGATAACATTGAATTCATTCTTGCAGGCCCACCTCGGTTTTTTGTCCTCAAGAATTCCTCTTGTCCCTTCATCAGCCCTAATCTTCCTATTGTTTATAACCAATTTGTATCATTTGTTTGTGTACATATATCTGTTTATAATATATGTTTACCTGTGAGGAATAGATTGTGTATTGCTCAATTTTGTATTTCCTGAGTGGTCCTAGCCCAAGTACTTAGATCACAATGATTAATACTCAGAATGTGTTTGTTCTAGATAGATGCAAATAATTAAGGATATAATCTTATTAGTTCTAAAATGTAAAAAAAAATTGCAGCTGATAATGACCGTAGCATATTTTCAAGAAGTGGAAGGGTCTGAGATTTTAATCTGAATTAATTTATAGTTTAATGAGGGGGATACATTCTGAGAAATGAGTCATTAAGTGATTTTGTCATTGCGTAAACATCATAGAGTACTTATACAATCTAGATGGTATAGCCTACTACGCGCCCAGGCTACTTGGGATAGCCTATTGCTCCTAGGCTACAAACTGTACAGCATTTTACTATACTGGATGATGTAGGCAATTCTAATACAATGAAAAGTATTTGTGTATCTAAACATAAAAAGGTACAGTAAGAAATATGATGTAAAAGATAAAAAATGATACTGTTGTATAGGGCACTTATCACGAATGAAGCTTGCAGGGCTGGAATTTGCTCTGGGTGGGTCAGTGAGTGAGTGGTGAGTGACTATGAGGGCTTAGGAAATTACTACACACTGCTATAGACTTTATAAACACTGTACACTTAGACTATACTACATTTATTGTAAAAAATGATTCCTTCAATAACAGCATTAACCTTAGCATATGGTAACATCTTTAATTTATAAACTATTTTTTAACTTTTTGATTCTTGTAATAACACTTAGCTTTAAGAAATTGTTCAGATGTACAAATATATTGTATTTATTTATACCTTTAATCTGTAATCTTTTTTCTATTGTTAATTTTTTAAATGAAAAAAATTTTTTTAAAAACAAAGACAAAACACACACATTAGCCTAGGCCTACACAAAGTCAGGATCATCAATACCACTGTCTCTTACCTCCACCTCTTGTCCCATTGGAAGATCTTCAGGGGTAACAACACGCATGGAGCTGTCATCTCCTATGATAACAATGGCTCTTCTGGAAAGCCTCCAGAAGAGGTTACACAGTTTGTTTTTTTTTTATAAGTAGAAAGAGTACATTCTAAAATAATGATAAAATGTATAATATTGTAAATACATAAACCAGTAACATAGTTGTTTATTATCATTATTGTTATGTACTGTGCATAGTTGTATGTGCCATACATTAACATGACTGGCAGTGCAGTAGGTTTGTTTACATCAATATCATCACAAACACATGAGTAATGCATTGTGCTACAGAGTGACTAGGCTACAAGAATTTTTCAGCTCCATTACAATCTTACGGACCACCTTTGTATATGTGGTCTGTTGTTGGCCGAAACACTGTTACACTGTACACAACCATATTTGCAAGCTAACAAATTAGCATGCAAATGTTTCATGTAAGCCAGAAGACTCCTTCATATACAAAGGACTTTATTACTCACATCAATAACCATAATCAGAGCACCAATATTTGCACCAGTTCTCCAAACCACAATATCCACAGAGCAACACAAAAACGGCCAGGTGATACTGCACCTTCATTGGTTTGTGTTAAAGGTGAGAAACCCCGAGTTTAAGGAGCCCCAATTGTTTATAATGGACAGAGGGTTTGCCTATATTTTCCCCAAAGACAATATATCTTTATTATTCTGTTGGGAAAGAAATCTTTTCTGTCTCTGACAGAGACATGACTTCTATCCTCCAAGGCTGTTTATAAATATTCTTGAAAACCTAATCTAGAACAAAGGTAATCAGTGACTCTGCTCAGAAGATGTGCAGGAAAGCAAGAAACATGAAAATTTTCTCTCAATACCTATTTAAATTCATAAGATTCTGATGCAGGCATAAAGGACAATTACTATAGAGGAAAACTGAAGGAAGTCCTTGGAGTACACGATTAGAACTATGATTCAGTCACTCAGTTCAATTAATACTGATCAAATTCCTACTCTGGACAGACACTAATCAAAATTCTGGTGACACAGCAGTGAACAAAACATTTCTGCCTTCTTAAAACTTACATTTTACAAAGAGGAGCCTAGAAAATTAACACATAAAATGTATATACTTACATTAGGCAATGATAAAATTTATGGAAAAAAAAAAGCAGGCTAAAGGGACACAAAGTAAAAGATTTCTAGATTGGGTGGCTAGTGGTGAACTCTGATTAAAAACCCTAACTTAGT
Organism: Homo sapiens; assembly: GCF_000001405.40. NCBI lineage: Eukaryota > Metazoa > Chordata > Mammalia > Primates > Hominidae > Homo > Homo sapiens. The sequence continues at coordinate 82,211,929 of NC_000003.12, read as the reverse complement.
AAATATGAAGCTACGTAGCTATGTGGGAGAAGAGTATTTTAAACAGAAGGACTAGGTTTGAGGCCTAGAAGGAGAGTTTACTTGACAAATTTGAGGAATATTAAGAAGGCCATGCAACTGTAGCACATTGAGCATGGAGGCCAGGGAATAGTAAAAAGTGATGTCAGGAATTTGGAGTGGGGAGATAACGTGTTACCAAAACACCAGGAGTTTGGTCTAGGACCTGCTGGTCACTGCACAGAAAGCCAATCACTGAGACAACTATTATTGTCAAAGAAGTCTCTAATTGGGTGCTGTAGCTGAGGAGATGGGAGATCAGTGTCAAATCCACCTCCCTGACTGACTAAAATGAGAGATTTATACAGCAGGAAAGAAATGTAATAATGTGTAGGAAAACAGGAACTAGGGAGGGGTGAGGAACCAATCATGATGAATGAGGGGTCTGACATCATTGTCCGAATGTGATGATCTGGTGAGTTTTAGTTCTTTGATACTTTCTTTGAGAGGCTCAGTTGAGAGGCCCAAGGGTGCTGAGGAAGGATGTCAGGTGAAGCAAAGGTAAGTTTCAAGCTTTAAGAAATTGAACAGAAAGGCCAATTTCTATGTCCAAAAAAACTGTCTATGGGACTACATTGGGTCAGTTTCAAATGTAAGGTCTTTATAGGCCACTGCAAGCACTATGGAATTTATACTGACATGGGAAGCCATTGGATTATTTGGAGCAGAAGACTAAAAAAGGCTAGATGCAGTGGCTAACACCTGTAATCCCAAGCACTTTGGGATTGGCAGGCAGATCACTTGAGTTCAGGAGTTCAAGACCGGCCTGGCCAACATGGCAAAACCCATCTCTTCTAAAGTTATGAAAATCAGCTGGATGTGGTGGTGGGCACCTGTAATCTCAGCTACTCTAGAGGCTGAGGCAGGAGAATCACTTGAACCTGGGAAGCAGAGTTTGCAGTGAGCTGAGATCACACCATTGCACTCTAGCCTTGGGGACGGAGTGAGACTCTGTCTCAAATTTAAAAAAAAGAAAAAAGAAAAATACTGAAAAAATATAAAAACAATCAGCCATCAATTTTCAGTCTTTGAAGTGGGTTGAACTAGGCTAAATGGTGAATGTGCTGGAAACTAGAAAACCAGTTAGGAATTGGCTGCAAGAATCCATGTGAAACTTGATGGCAGTTTAGATTAGGACGTTTGTAGTATATACAGATTTAAAATACGTATTGAAAATTGACCTGGCAAGATATCCCAGATGGGAGAAAATAAAGGGGAGTCACCTTCATTCCATGATTTCCAGTTTAATCCATTATAGGCAAGAAACAACCAGTCAGGAAGATACTACAAAATCACCTACATTCACCATATTCCTATACTCTGCTACTATATAGTTTTAAAATATATATATTTTCAGTATTATCTCAAGTTCAATATTTTTAATTAAATTGGTTATGATCATCAAAGTATCTAGAAAGCTTACAGCAAATTCTGTTAAATGCAGGATGTTCTTTATTCTAATTTTTATGTGGAAATGTATAAATATTTCAGCCCAAGTGTTCTCCTATAAATCATCTTTTTTGTTTCATTAAAAGTAATATTTTTTGACAAATATTTTTGCAAGGCAAAATTTGTCAAATAGGTTATCATTATTTATAATTCTTTGGCTATTTTACTGAATTCAGAAACTGAAAAATTATAGGCCTTCTCAACTTAATCTCATTTTTGTACTGGATATAGGTTTATCCTAATAAAACAGAAACTCTATCAAAATATTTTTCCAACAAGTTGAGATATTCTAAAGCAAAATTATAGAATTTCAAGGTCACAAATAATTCTAAAATTATAATGAATACCTAGCAGAGAAAGCACAGATTGCTACATGAGGAGAGGTTTAAAAAAAAAAAAAATCAGCTTTCCACAAACATGTCGTAACTCAGTTATTCTGTGAATGTATAAAAATAATTATTTCACAGCTGCAATTTCTATTTCGATTGGTAGGTATCTTGTCTGTGTCAGCTCAGGTCCTCTGAGAAGCAGAAGCCAAAATAGTATAGATGTGCAAGAGAATTATTGGGAAACACCAATGAAGGACAAAAGGCAAATATTAACGGAAGGCAGGGTGAGCTTTCAGACCACACCTGTGAAAGTCAGGTGTTACAGAAGAAGGAATGGGAAGAAAGAGCTGAAGTGTATAATGCAGTTCTGAGATACTTTCATCCAGGCCATTGGGGAATCCTCCAGCAAATATTAACCAATAGAGTTGTCTGGTATTGAGCACAAATTGTCTGGCTGTAGTACCACTGCCATGCTAAGACATTGGCTGGAAGAGGTTGGGGGGAAACATGGCTGCAGCATTCATCTCACAGTGGATCTGAAGAAGTATAGATTCAACTCTGACCCTTATGGCAGGTTCTCTCGAGGGGAAAGAGCAACGTTCCCCATGACAGTCATGGCCTCTGAGAGGAATTAACTGATAATATTTTTGAAACATCAGGTAACATTGACATAAAGCCTCCATTATTTAACTCTTTTCAAAGATTTTTTTCTGCTAATGAAGTCAACCCAGTAACAGTTAAAGCTTCACTTTTTATCTGAACCAAGAAAATTTAGCATCAACAAGTAACAAAATTAATTTAGAAGAACAGTCTTTCAACTAAATGAAATACCATGCTTCAGAAATGATGAGTAAACACAGCCTACACAGCTGCATGTTTTAAATCGTCATCTCCAGGCGCATTCTTCTGAAATAACTATTTTTTGAAGGAGAATCTTACACTTTAACAGATTCATCTTCGCGTTGTCATGTGGACACCATACTCCTCATATTGGATTGCAAATGTTGAGATGCATTTTGCGCAAGTTAATTTTTCATCATCAGAGCTTCTTTTTCTTGCATTGTAAAAATTCACTTTTTTCTTATTACTTTCTTATGGCAAATGAGATTATTACAAAATGAAAAGTATAACTAAAATTAATATTAATAGGTATAGATTCATACCTTCATAGATTTTGGTGACAGCAATCAGATTATTCTCTACACGACTATAACATGACCACTCAGCCTATCTAAATAAAAATATGGCAAAGGCTGGAAGTACATGGTGAATGTCTCACAAGCCCATCTTAGTTTATTTTAATGCAACAATGTAATAATAATAATAATGTATTGTTTAAAAAATGAACAATTCAGCAAAAGTCCTAATTCAGAAAACAATTCAGGAAAAATCCTAAAACACAGTACACTTAGACAACAGGCATAAACCAAGACCATCTGTGGTGGACTGACACTCTAGGAGCCACTAGTATTTTCTAGACATGATATTCATATACTCAATAGTAATTAAGGATAATTTTGAACACTGCCCATAGGAAAGGAGAAGTTAAGCACGAAAAGCAATGCTAGAAAGCTTTGAACCAAGACTTACTTAGAAAAGAAAAGGGGAAGTCAATCAGAATAGTCTATGTAAGTTTGAAAGAATTTTAAGAATGAATAGTGTGTTAAGGTTGCAGATATGTGGGGTCTGGAGCCAAACATTCCTAGGTTTAAACGCTGCCCTCTTTCTATATGACACTGGAGAAATTGAATTTACCTCCCCACACTTTTTTATATTCAACTTGATATGGTGTGGCTGTGTCCCCACCCAAATATCACCTTGAATTGTAATAATCCCCATGTGTCAAAGAGGGAGCCAGGTGGAGATAATTGAATCATAGGGATGGTTTCCTCCATGCTGTTCTCATGGTAGTGATTAAGTCTCATAAGATCTGATGGTTTTATAAGTGGGAGTTCCCCTGCACAAGCTCTCTTGCCTGTAGCCGTGTAAGACGTGATTTTGCTCCTCATTCACCTTTTGCCATGATTATGAGGCCTCCCCATCCATGTGGAACTGTAAGTCAGTTAAACCCAATTCCCCTATAAATCACTGTCTCCGTTATGTCTTTATTAGCAGCATGAGAACAGACTAATAAACAACTATTATGAATATTAATATAAATACATAACTCCTCTTATAATAATTGTAGCTCTAGAAAGTATTAAGATTCCTAAATGCAGTCTTATATGTCTGGGGTACCAGAAGTTATGAAATGGAATTGGAAACCTTGGCATTTAAAAAAATTAAGACAAGTTTTGATTTAGATACTGCTGAAGCACAGAATCTCTTTTATTTCTCTTTCTCCAATAAAAGTGCTAATGCAAGCAAAAGAAGCTATTAGCATCATTAAGGAGTAATATAGTACGATTGCCATGAGAAATCTAAAACAAAACTAACAAACTGATATGATTTGGATCTGTGTCCCCAATCCAAATCTCATGTAGACTGTAATCCCCAGTGTTGGAGATGGGGCCTGGTGGGAGGTGATTGGCTTATGGGGATGGATTTCCCCATTGGTGCTGTTCTCCTGATAATGAGTGAGTTCTCATGAGATTAGGTCATTTAAAAGTGTGTGGCACCTCCTGACCCTCTTTCCTCCTGCTCTAGCCATATGAAGTGCTGGCTCTCTCTTCACCTTCCACCATGATTATAGGTTTCCTAAGGCTTCCTCAAAAGCCAAGCAGATGCCACCATCATGCTTCATGTATAGCCTGTGGATCCATGAGCCAATTAAACCCCTTTTCGTTACAAATTACCTAGTCTCAGATATTTGTTTACAGCAGTGCAAGAGTGGGCTAATCCACAGACAAGTGTCTTTCATCCAGTAAGTCACTTTCGGTGAGTTATAGAACACCTGATCACTGTGAAAGAATTCTAAATTCTATCCTTATAAATATTCCACATCTTCTAGTGTGTAGTATTAATTTTTCTGAGTCCTGTAACAAAATCTATTTTGGCAAGACCTTCTCAGGATAATGCAATGCAATATCATATGGATCATTCAGCCTGAATAATAATTTCTCAACTGATATCTGCCGCAGCCAGCCTTTCACATAACAATGCATCTTGTCCAGCCTCATGCTCCACTGGCTTTCAAATGTCTTGCACTACTGGCTCTCTGAATTTAGCTGTTGTATCTCTAGAGTTCAGGAAATTCACAGAGGACATGACTTTTTGCATAAGATTACTTCTTCTTTAAACTGACTCAAGTAAAACTGTGCTCCCGAGGTTCTCATCAAGCAAGTATGTTTTGCTGCCATTAGCACACTGATGTTTAAACTTCATAGGAGTAAAAACAAGAGTAATAGCTAAGTTTGTTTAGATCTTACTTTGTGTCAGTCACTGACTTAAATATCGACCTTCCTCATCTCACTATTTTGAACATACTTTACATAAGTGAACAGAAGTTAAAGAGGGGAAGTAATTTGGAACAGTTCATGGGTTACTAAGCTGTGATCCTGGATCAGAGGAATCCCGTTCTTACTTCACATTTTTTTTCTCAGCACCAGACTTGCCACCCCTCATGTTTTGTCCATTTGTCCAACATCTAATGAAAATATTTTCTCAACATACTAAATAAGAAAAACATTAATTTAAAAAATTAGTGATTTATAATCTTAAAGGAGGCAGATTATGAAATTGAAGAAAAAACTAGATTGAGACTTTAGAAGTATGGGAGATAGCTAGAATTTAGCCATTGACCTGCTAAGTGAATTACCTCACCTATTTATATAACTTTTCACAACTGTAAAGTAAAAAATTGTATTAAATGATAAAAACTTATGAATGTCCAAATGTCCAGCATCCTTACCAATACATAAATGATATTGAAGGTCTATGTTTGATATTATATGGAACATGGTAATGTATTAGCTGTAAACATTTACTCACCTTGCTGTCACTTTAGATCATGTGCTTTCCCTTGAGGCAACTCATTTAAACTTCACAGCAGCAGCAGGGAAAACAATATAATAGTCATTTTGTGATTGTGAACATTACATAATCTGCCCAGTGTCAGACAACTAGCTCAGAGTATAGATATGAATTTAACATTAATGTCCCAAAAGATAAGATGTTTTCAATGTGGTATAGACACATGAGAAATATTGAACTTTATAATGCACAAATATGGAGACTTGTTGTCATGTCAATTTACAACTGGCTGTTGTACAAATCTGAATGAGATTTGGAAGTGGAAGTGAAAGCAATCTCCATGTTTACATTTAAGGGTTAGTGTAAGAACTGTTTCTCAACATTTTTTTAAATCATTGCCTTCCATATAAGTCTTTCAAATATTTTCCCCTAATTTCCTCTCCCTCCTTTTGAAATTAAATACTAAGTAACAAGATTTTGTCAAGTAGAGTTACGCCACTGAAGACCAAGAATCATGTTCATAGGAATTTTTCCCCACCCCCCACAAAACCAATTTTTGTCCCCTTGGAGGTGACATATCACCCCGACTGTTATAGGTCAACTGATACCACCATTGATATAGGGTCATATTAGCACTGCCGCTGATACTGGCTTAACCTGTTGCCTGAGGCACCAGTTGTGCCTGCAATTCTAGCTTCTGCAACATTTCCTCTATCACCTTCTACAAATCCTGGACCAGGTATGTATACAGCTCCACTGATGAAGGCACTGGCACGATCTGCCTGTTACCCATATCATCAAAGTTGCAAGAGGTGAGACAGAGGCATACAGGCTCCAGTTCAATCTTTTGGATTTCTGTCCATTCTCCCAAATTACAGCTTGTCATTGTGATACGGACAGGAGGCAAGGAAATACTGAGTAGATGAGGGTGGTTCCCCAGCAAAGGCCCCACCTTCAAACCTGGAAACCCACAGGCCTAAATGGAAAGAGGCATTCCTGTTTTCACTCCCAAATTTTGCCTTTTCCAACACCACTCTGGCCCACCACTCCCAGTCTTGTAGCCATAAAAATCCGAAACCCTAAGCTCCATGAACGGAAGAGCGGCAGAGAGGCAGAGCAGCAGAGTGACAGAGCAGCACAGCAGAGAAGGAGAAGGAGCATTTGAACGTCCAGAGGAGTTTGGCTAGGGTTGGAGAGGAAATCAGCTGTGGAACAGCCCAATTCTGGGGAAAGATCATCTTCCCACTCCATCTCCTTTCCAGTTCCTCATCCATCCCACTGATAGCCACCTCCATCACTCAATAAAATCCCCACATTCACTATCCTTCAAATCCATGTGACCTGATCCTTCCTGGATGCTGGACAAAGGACCTCGGTACCAAGAGGGAAAGGTGTAAAAGGTTGTCACCTTGACTCTCCACTGAACTGGTTAAACACTTAGCTGTCCACGAATGGCAACTGCTAAAAGAACATTAATTGTAACACACTCCTAGACGCCACTGTGGGACTGGAGCCCAAAAGTGCTTGCCCTGGCTCCTACCTGTCTGCATCTCCCCTCCATAAAGGGTTTGAGCACATGGCAGCCCAAGCAGGTTCCACGAGTGGGTCAGAGAACTCTCCCATTTCAGTTGCTCTCCTTCACATCATCTTTCTTCTCTATTGCTGGCCCTGTTGACTTCAGGTCCAACACAAGAAGCAGGAATAACTGCCTAAATAGGACTGCAAAACCAGTTTTCACAATTGGATAAGGTCAATTACCACCATAAATTTCTTACTGCATATTACTCAGTTTGATTTTTTTCTCTGATAGAATACTACTTGATAAATACACAGTAATTATTTTATAGTTTTCAAATTTATCAACTTAAATGTGTTGACATAAATGTAAATATACAGTTCTCCTCATTCCGTTCTCTTTTTTTATTTCCTATCCTCTCTTTTAGAATGAAATCCTCAAAACAAATAAGTAAATAAATAGTAAAAAAAAGATAGAAAAGAAAATTATTGTATACACATAGTCTCACTTTTTCCTTCATGCTATTATATCCTATTTCTTTCAATATTTGATGCATGGTTTCAATGTCATTTACGCATTCAAAATGATCTAGTGAAGGAACATTCTTTGATACACATGTTCTTTCTAATTACACCATTTGTCAACAGTGCTTGTAAAATTACTCTTTCATCTCTCACTTAATTGTTTACATAAAAGTATTTTAAATTAAATGGATCTAAATTTGTATTACTTCTCATTGAATAGTAATGTAACTTATTTCCTGATTTGTTTTTCTTTCTTAGACTCTTGGGACACAACAGTTGGATGATACATTCATTTATTCTAATATTTAACTGTTTTCTTAAATCATTCATAATCTTCAAGATGGCTCAATTTTTACAACAAAACAACAATAATAAATATAAAAATTAAGAATAAAAATCATAAGAAGAAATTAAAAAGACTAGGCATTTCATAGGAAGCTTTTTGAAAAGTAAGACAAGATCAAAATAGTTGAGCAAATTAGAAAGTATTTTTTTATTTCTATGAAAAAATCAGTCTTACATGGAGAAAACAATAAGCATCTGTCCAATAATAACTCAGTCTCAGATTGAGAATCTCTGTCCAGACATTGTGTTTGTTGAATGAAAAAATGTATAAGATAAGCTTTTCACATACCTTGTGCTTTCATACAGTTTGAATATGTAATCATAAATTTAAATATATTAACTGCATGCATTTAAATATCTAATATCAAAATAAATGCATCTGTGTTCATTGCAAACCACAGACATAGTCAAGCTCCTATGAAACTACTATGAATTCTATCATTTGGTACATTGTCTAAAATTGGCAAAAAACACTGAAAACATCCCTCAAAATCTTGTATGTGTATAAAATAGATACTCTTAACATTTTTAATATGGTTTAATTTTACCAAAGTTTTCAATACTAACTAAAATGTTCTACTGTTTCTCTGAGTAAAAAATTTAAAACATATCATTTCAAAAGAATTATGTTTTTAGAAAATTGGTCATTATAGATAATTTCTGCCTATTTTTAATTATGGCACCATTGTGTCAATAAGCTATGTTTAGAACATTTACATTCAAACCAAGAATCCAATAATATGTAAAATGTGTGTTTAAGCTTTGTGCTTATTTGAATTATTGTCCCTTTGATGACAGATATTTCAGCAGCTACAACATACAAATATTAAGATATTTAGGAAAGACATTTAGGAAAAAATGTTAGCACGTTATTGTTGCTACTTGACTCATTGAAAAAAAAATTCCCATTGACATAACTCTAAAGGGAAATCCATTTGTGGCAAAAGAAAAAAAAAAACCTTTAGGAAACCCATTTGGGATTTGTTATATGAAATTAAATTAAGTCACATTTTAAATTTTCTAAAATTTGCTCTAAATACATATCAACAGTTGTAGTATTTCTCTCTACAATTCTATTCTAAAATTACATCCCACTTGAAGTGTGAATTCTCTACATTTCTTCCATATATATCCTAAGAGTCATTATTCTATCTTTTCTCAACATGAGTAACTCAAATATTTCGAATACTTTTTTCATAATTCCATATAGACATATTAAATCAGATGTCATATTAAGGATTAAAAGTGTGGTCAGCCCTATATATTCTTTTTCGCTAGCACAGAGGAGATTAGTACAGAATTGCACTGAGAGAGCTTCAGGGAGTCGCAAGCCAGATACTCACCAGGAATAGCTTCTAAGAGAGTACCACACGCTGTGAGCAAAGGCAGGGAGCAGCTGAATGCTTTTCCATATGACCAAGAGTGGCTTATTATGACAATGACAGCCAGAATATATGAGATCCCGTGACCTGCACAAAAAGACCCAAGATTTGATACAGTGTGGGCCAATGAATCAGGGAATAGATGGAAACAACCACACATGCACACACACACACACACACACGCAAACACATAGAAATGTAAATGCAAAAGTATGATTTTCATTGATTTTAAGTTTAGTTTTGTTTTGTTTAAAATATAATTAGAAATAAATGTACATATCAAATAAAAATATCTGACACCTAGTTCTAAATGCATATTTAGTCAAACTAAATGTAAGGTCAGCCAATGACTTGACTCTCTTCATTTCTTCTCATGCCTCACTCAAGAGAAAGTAGATATTCCAGTTACTGTGGCTATATAAGAAATTACCCCCAAAATTAATGGCATAGAATAACAAATTATGGTACTCAGGGACTCCTAGGACCAGGAATTTGGACAGGGCACAACAGGGATGCTTTGTCTTTATTCCACGTTGGCTGGGCCCTCAGGTGGTATACTCAAAAGCTTTGTTCACTCATATGTTTGGTGGATGACGGTGGCTGGCTGGCACCTCAGTTTCTCTCTGTGGTCTATCATCATGGGCTAGCTTGGGCTTCGTGAGAGTATGGTGGTTTGGTTCCCAGTGCAAGTTTCACAGGAAAGAATCCTGTGGATCTTTTATTCCTTTTATTACCTAGTTTTATAAGTCACATAGCACCACTCTTGCTGTACTCTCTTGATGAGAGCAATTATGTTTCCATCCAGATGCATTTAAAGAAAATACAGACGTCGATTCTCAGTGAGAGAAGTGAGGAGTCACACTGTTAGAAGAACATGTGGGGTGGGAGATGGTGTTGCAGTTATTTAGATGAATAAAATCTGCCATGACAGGCAAGAGGCACAACATAAAGACTAAAATTAGAAATGGTCCTTCTTTTAGAGAGTCTCTCCAAATGCAATCTTCTATCTTTTTCTTTCTGTTCACTACACTTGTTCAAACAGCAAAATGATTCATTTACATATTTTAATTACTTTACTTGGTTGACTCCCTGCTATTTGAAGAAGTGTATTTTTAATCGACTAAAAGAAGGTTAAGTTCTAGTTTTAGACTTTATATCATGCAATATTTATGAATAAGTGAGTCAGATGTTTGGTGAGACAGTGATGGGGCTATGGTCAAATCATGTCTTTTAAAAGGAATTCAGATTTTTGAGGTTTTAGATATTTAATTTAAAGTGAAAGACTAGAAGACCAATTTGTCAGGATAAGCACGATTTGTGAGAGAGAACACGGAATGTATGCAGCTTTGGGCTGAGGGACAGCTTTGATTTTTGTAAAATTATGAAGATATGTTCTTCTAATCTGCCCAGAGATAATCTATAAATTCTTATTCCCCTTTCTTTTCAAAGAATATCTCATCTTCTTGATGTTTATGCTCACACAGTACCTTCTGGGGGGCATAAACATCATTGAGATGTTTTGCAATTTTTACATACATGTATCACAGCAGAGATAGGAAGATAAATAATGAGATATTTTGTAGAGGGACAATGACAAATCTGTGGTGTGTTCTATACAGAAGAACTCTGTTTGAGACCAGAAGCCCATTCACATGTATCAATCCTCTGCTCAACTGTTTCAGAGACATTGAAGCAGGCAGTCCTGCTTGCTTCAGAGGCAACTGTAGGTGAAATCAGAAGGTTCCAGGAATTATGATAGCTCACAGCATCATGAATATTTGGGAGTAGATTTCATTGCAAAGAGAGTATAGAGAGCAGAGTCAAGGGTTTATGGGCAGATACTTAAACAATTCATACATTTAGGGAAGTATAAAAAGATAAACTACATTCATGAATTGTTTATTCAAATATACTATTTCATGGCTTAAGGTAACCTTTGGCTCACAACAAAACTGCTTGACTCTAAAGAAGCTATGTTCTATGTTGACAACCCTGAAAATACAATGTTTAAAAGCAAACACACAAAAATACAACTATATATTTTGTGTGATTACCTCTCAGTTACATATTTATGCCAGGGAAAGAGAACAAAAGTAATTAAGTAAAATACCTCATCCTTACTCCTTATTTGCTTATGACCAGGATAATTTGCCAACCTTATTTATGACAAAGGTTTACTAACCAGTGCACTGATGGAATGTATTCATGCCTAAGTTCTTAGTGATCTAATATTATCCAAATGAACTGTACATAATTTCATTGTAAAAGAAAGTTTAATATAGGTTTTTTAATCATTTTAAATTTTACTCTTTCCCAACCTAATATACTTTATTGAGAGAAAGCAAACAAATAGAATAAGTCAAGATTTTACTCTTAATTCCACTTTCTCTTCTGCTGCTTATAGAGCCTCACCTAAACAATAAGAACAACAAAGGGGGCTCTGAACATTACTTGGCAAAAAATATAAAAATAAAATAAAATGAAAGAACATGAAAAGTCCACTACTCCAACAATGTCAAATTTCTCTTGTGATGGCAGGTAACTTAAATCATGAAAAGACACTGAGCAGTAAGGGAAGAATCGCTGCTCTGGTTTCTTTTTTAAAAGAAAAATATGACCTGCTCAACTCTAACAGCTGTCAAGCATTTCATCACCAGTCTTTGCAGCATTCCTTCAAGATGTGTACCCTGTATAGTTAAAAACAAAAACAAAAACAAAAACAAAAACACTGCCACTAATGGCTAAGAAAAACTTCAAAACAGAACAAGATAGATTAACATTCCTCATCATGTTTTTGAATGTGTAGCCAAAAACAAAACAAAACAAAAATCAGACAGGTATGCCCATATTCAAATCAGATTTTGATGAAAGTGGGAATATACATCTTATGAATAGATAAAAGGCAGACAGATGAGATCGATTAGATGATAGGTAGACAGTAGATGGGTAATGGAAGATGATATCTTAGCCTGATCCCTAAAATTATTTTGTGGAACTAAAGTACACTTTCAAATAAGTACACTACATGATGAACTTATACTACTTATTCATCCTCAAAGGGTGGATCAAAAGGATATTTTTGGACTTAACAAGGTCAAATTTATGCACTCTGAAAACACAGAAATTTAAAATTTTAAAAGATATTTGTATTTTTGTGAAGAAGGGTGTGCTGTTGCTGTTAGCTGTACTAATAAGTACTATATAGGTTTATTACATAATTCATACCTTTGGCCAAAAACTACTAATGTAAAACAAAAGTCAAGGAGACTTTTCTAAATGGGAATTTTCATGATTAATTTGAAGGGTTTTTAAAATTAATAATGGAACAGTGATTATTGTAGTGAGATGGATAGAGCTTGTTTTTAAAGTCATTAGTGTTATACGGCGTGAGTTTCTCGATACCTGTAAAGGTTTATTTTTTTTAAGTGAGCAAAGCTTGAACACGATGTACACAAAAATATGCCTGTTTAAATGAACCAGCAGAATTTCAGGGCAGAGTTGTGCATAAATACATCCTCAAAGATATATATATATATATATATATACTATTCGGAAGCCATTTACTTTGAGAGAAGCTGGTAATGATGACAAAGAAAAGGAGCCCCTAATAGTGTGATAATCTCTTTTTTCACTTGTTTTCCCATCCTGTTATCCTTGTCCTTGGTATCATCTTTCCCAGCCTTTTATAGCCGTCATCACATCTTTCTTCCTTATGATTTTCCAGTCCATTTTTGTGTGCCTTTGTTATGTCACAGTTTCTCCTACACTCTAATTTAACGAGCCACAAGCAACAAGAAATAGAAAAGAAACCATTCAGCTTTTGAACTTTACTTAGCATACTCTAAATCGGCAGGTCTTAGGCAATTAACAATAAAACTTGTTTAAAAAAACAAATTTTCAGAGGTTTAACCATTGAGTTAGTTATATTATTTAAAGTATTGCTAAGATAGGAAATGGTGATATGTCAGAGTGCACACAATACTGAAGGAGCAATATTTTGGGAATTACATGGCCGTAGTCAATGTAAAAATGGCCAAGCACCAGTAAGCTTTGTGCCTGTTTGTTCTGCTATTTTAGAGAATGATTTAGACTCTGCTTTAACCTGAGTTTTTCTATGGTAGTTGTTCATGATTTTAAAAGACATCCACGTTTACTTTCTTAGTGTGTGCACAGAACAAACAAACATTTAGGTGTTTACACTGCACAGCTCAAATCCATGGCTCTACAATTGTCAATATCCCAAATCCATTAGGCAAATGCCTAGAAAAGTATAGAAAGTAAGCAATTAGAAGAAGTATCAACAAACAAGCGCAGAACTCCTTAAAAAGATGCTCATTTTGACCTTCCAGTTTACTATACAATATTGAGGTGGCATACAGAGCAATGAATAAACCAGTGTTCTCTGAAGGGGAACAAGTATTCCTTTAATTCATCTTCTGAAGCCTGATTAGTTACTATTACTAGGTTCTATAAACAATGTCATTTCTGCCAATGCCCTTTACATATGCAACACATTAGCCAAGGATAGGATTTTAAAATTCTAAATTTCTATTTAATCTCTGCCTATCTACCCTTAGGTTTCTGAATACTTTATTTTGCCAACCTCCTAAGTATTCTCCTGCTCCTGGCCACCCAAATTTTCTATTGCTTCAGCCTTCTCCACCATTTCAAAACTTACATGGCTTATGAAGTATTTTCTCAGGACATGTGAACATAGAGATAATGTGAGCAGAGGACATAAAGGTTGATTGAGCATATATCAAGGCCTACTATTTGTTTGGTAATGTATATGCATCGTCTCATTTATACCTCACATGAATCCTTCAAGAGAAATATTATCCTCAGTTCCCAGATAAAGAATCAAGAGACTAAGTAACAGGTACAATATTGGAACTAGTTAGGGATAGATGCAGAACCACAAGTCCCAGTAGAGTCCGTTTCTAAAGACTCTGCAATAACAAACTGAAAAACCAATGAGTACCTTTGTAATATGATGTGCCCTTCTTTGACTAAATTGGTACACTTTCTGGCAGCCAAACCAAAACAGCACAGGTGGCATCGAACTCCAGAAAAATCTCACTACTTATCGCTGATGAGAATTTCTGCTTTGCATACGTCACCTCACCTTTGCTTGTATTTAGCCTGGGAAGATCCTACCATCTCATTTCTGTCTGCTGAGTGACAGAAATGGCCAGCTTTCCTCCTTGTTTCCTGTCAGTGGACTCTACTATTGTATTTTCTAGAGCCAAAGTGGTTGTTATGGGATGAATTTTTGTCTTCTCTCAATTTTTATGTTGAAGTCCTAACCCCCATCACCTCAGAATGTTACTCCAGTTGGATAAAGGGACTTTACAGAGGTAGTTAAGTTAAACAAAGCCCTTAGGGTTTGCATTGATGCAACCTTACTGGTGTCTTTATGAGAAGTAGATATTAGGATATACAGAAAGGCACCTGAAAAATATATGCACAGAGGAAAGGCCACCTGAGGACACAAGAGAAGCCAAGGAGAGAAGCCTCAGAAGAAGCTAAATCTGCTGACACCTTGATTTTGGACTTCTAGCCTCCAGAGCTGTGAGAAGATAAATTTATGTTGGTTAAGCCATCTGGTCTGTGGTACCTCTGGCAGTCTTAGCAAAATAATACTGTGGCTTTAAAACATGATGCCTATACAGGTGTAAAGAAGAGAGAAAAAGTGGAAGGCTTCCCTGTGAACTTGTCATTGAACAGGTCCTCCTCTCAAGAGCTTTGTGTCAAGTTGAAAACATTTGTGTGTGACTAAGATAATAACAACTGATAATATACTAATGGATCATCTCTGGCATTTTAAAAACAGGTTCCTGGAAATATTAATATATCTTAACATTGAGGAAAGTCACTAAAAATTTATTTACAGGCACTCATCCTGGACAAGGAGCGGAAAAATATTGTGAAAAGCAAGTACTTCTCGTATTTAATCATTCTGTCTAGACATCTTCATAAAAATGCTGAAAGGAGGTAGGATTCAACATTCTCTTATGATTTACACATCTGGCAAAGCTCTATGTCCATGAAATTCAGAGGAAAATGGAAAAGACAAATTTATAACTTAAAAAATTCCCAAATGACAATATGTGTTAGAAGAGTATCATTGTGTTCCCTGCGAAGCAGGCACTAAGGCAAGGCCTTTGGTGTAGCTATTCTATTAGGAAGTGATTCAGGAAAACACACAGGAGGAAGTGGAGAAAAGGAGGCATGTAGGTAGAAAAACCAATAAAGCATGTGTTAAGTGAACTCCACTTCACAATGCCATAGTCTCATGAGTTGCCGGAAAAACTGAGACATTTATTCATAGATCCCCACCAGTGAGTATAAACCAATGCCTATGTGTGTATGTAAATTGTAACTCATTATTTCATTGGCCAGCACCGTGGCCTGGGTCCTTAAATTTGAGTTTTAGGGGAGTGAGGGCATGTGTATGTAGTTTTATTTGAAATAAAATATACACAAGGTAGTAAACAAATTATCACATATGTCACAATAAATGTATATAAAATGAAGACCTATGAAACCAGAACCTATAGGAAGAAGGTGACTGGGGTCAGCACCACAGAAACATCTTGTTACCTCTACCCAATCACTACTCCCATAAAGGTAAACTACTAAGCCGATTTCCAACATCACAGATAAGTTTTGCCTATTTATTTTTGAAGAGTATTATAAGTGCAATTATAAATATATACTTTTAATTTTCTTGCTTTTTTCTGTCACCATCATTTTTATGAGATTCATCTGTAGTATTACATGTAGGTATAGTTCATTTACCCCCATTGCAGCTTAGAATTTAATTGTGTGAATGCAATAGTTTATTCATCATTATTTCTGGGAAAAGCATTGTTATCACAGAACTGCAGTGTTTCTTGGGAAACTTAAATTTTATACTTTTGAACAAAATTAATATATTGTTTTCCTGGCTACTTACAAACAAAAGAAACAGCCACAATTTCTTCTAAACTAGAACTATTCTGCTTTTTTTTTCACCTATATTGTAATAATCCCTAAACAGAAATACATGTTTCGCTTTTATATGTAGGTATGTGTATGTTTGACAAACATCGTTTACTAAATTACACATTTAATTGATAAATTTCAGCAAGTCATTCATTCAACGTATAAACATTTTTGATCACCTACTGTGTGTAAGCTATTTTGCTGTATACTGGAGCCATGATGAACAAAAGGAGACCTAGTTCTTGCTCACCCTCAATTACTTTACAATTAGAGAGCCACAAAGAAATGTAAAATAATAGTTATGACTCAGCATGGTGACTGACACAAGAAATGATGTACAGGTTTCCCTGAGTGAATGAAGAAGGAAGCCTAATCCAGATTTGTTTGGTGCAGGAAATCCTGGAAGAAGATGATAAGTTTAGAGTTATTTAAGCAAGTCAGGATGTGTCCTAGCAAATAAAAATGTGTTCAGGTCCTGAGGTTAAAAAAAAAAAATTGACGTGTTGGGGGAAATTAGAGGACTTCTTTTTGTTTGGAGTCGTTTAGTTTCCTCATCTGTAAAATAAAGGGAATAGAATGAGTGAGCAGTGAGCATTCTTCTAGCTCTGACATTTATATAAACTATTGGTCTCCTATTGGTCTGGTCTCTAGAACTACAATGAACACTTACAGAAAAAGATCTCAATTTGATTGTTTAACCTCCTGCAATGCTAATGAAGTGATGTGATAGCCACAGTGGCCCAGCCACTGTTGTTGAATGATCTATGGAACAAAAAATAAATAAATCTCCATAAAAAGTTTCTTACATGTCTTTTACTTACCTCAGTTTTGAATATCTTACACTTTAGAACCATGTAATTTCCTCAAACATTTTTGACATTAAAAACCAATTCATTGAAACCATAAAATCCATTTATTTATCTTGCTACCAAATTACAGGGGGTTGGGGAGGGAAGACAGAAATGAAAATAAGGAAATCCTCACCAGAATGCTTGGGATAACTTATAGACTCTCTCATTTAAATTTTCAGTTCATAACAGAAACCAAAACATGTTTCATTTCATAAATATTAACACTACAAGAGACTGACTCATTAACCAAAGAAAGAACTTTTAAAAGAACCACCTCTAACGCTTTGAACTATTTTGTGAACAATTTCTGATCACAAAGGGCCGATCCATATAACAACAGCCCTTTCTCTTCACCTTGCTGATACAGTTTGGTGGTGTGTCCCAACTCAAACCTCATGTTGAACTGTTATTCCCAATGTTGGAGGTGGGGCCTGATGGGAGGTAATTATATCATGGGAGTGGTTTCTAATGGGTTAGCGCCATCCCCCTAGTGTTGTTTCATGATTGAGTTCTCACGAGATCTGGTTGTTTAAAACCGTGCATCACCTCCCCTTTAGCTCTCTCTCCTGTAGCCATGTGAAGATGTGCTTGCTTCGTCTTTTGCCATGATGGTAAGTTTCCTGAGGCCTCCCCAGCCATGCCTCCCGTACATCCTGCAAAACTGTGAGTCCATTAAACTTTTCTGTATAAACTAACCAGTCTCAGGTAGCTCTGTAGAGAAATGTGAGAATGGACTAATACACTTGCCAACACACTCACATACACTTAGGAAAACTTATTAATTTTCCATGGGTGTTGCTAAATACGATGTGCTGTAAGTCTGTATATTGAATTAAAGTTTGTAAACAGCCTATGAAAGAAACAGAAACATCACAGCTTTTCTGCTTAAATTTGTTGAAATTTCTTTGTTCATATAATTGTTAGACTGTGCAGACTCCTAGTATGTCTAAAAGGCATATTAGTGTCCTAATAAACTTTTCTTCTGCACATAAAATATCAGCATTCTTTATTTCTTTTATGTGCATGTCTGGTACATGTGTCATGAAAATATATAGGCACATTAAACTTGTGACTCTATAAATCTCCTTTAAAAGGGATTTTCACTTTCAATATAGATAAATACAATTATTTCATTTTTCCGATGATAAAATAAACATACAATCACTGCACGTGCTTAAAAATTTGTAGCACAGACAGAATAGCAGCTTTAAATTTATCAACAACTACAACATGCATAAATTACTACAATTAATATTTGGTTTGCTATCTTTCACTTATTTACTTCATTTTTAGCAGAATTGAGATGTGTGGCAGCTGAGAATTGTGTTCTGCAGCATGCAGTAAAAACCGATTACAAGGGCTTAATTAACGAGAAGGTGTTTTCTTCCCAAATGTTTTCTTTTTTTTTTCCACTATTGTTTTTGTTTGTTTTAGCACAATAAGCAATACAGAGACAGGCAGTCCATGGCTGCTATAGTACCTACAGGGACCATGCCCTTTGTTTTTCCTACTCCTGCATCCTTACATTACAGCTGTATCTTCATGGCAACCTCATACTGGCAAGATATGCTCCCTGTATTACACCCAGAAAGAAGAAGGAAGCATCAAAGAGGATGGAACAGTACTTAGGTCAATAAAACAAAAGTTTCCCAGAAATCCATAGCAGAATATCATTTGGCCACCTGTATCTTAAAGAAATTTGGGCCAGGATTGTGTTTAGGTGGCATTTCTCCCCCTCAAATATCAGTGCAAGTAAAATGGAATAAATTAGATATTTGGGAGGCAACTGATAATGTCTTCCACAAGATTATATATACAGCAAATATGATTTGCTGGTTTCATTACACTTGAGTTATCCCATACACAAGTTTACATAATTGAAACATTTGCATGAACATAATTGTAATGGCTACATGTCTGTAAAATTATCCATTTCTTCCTTCCATTGAACAAACATTTAAGGATGATTTTTCTTTTTTTTTCTTTTTTTTTAATTTTATTATTATTATACTTTAAGTTTTAGGGTACATGTGCACAACGTGCAGGTTTGTTACATATGTATACATGTGCCATGTTGGTGTGCTGCACCCATTAACTCGTCATTTACATTAGGTATATCTCCTAATGCTATCCCTCCCCACTCCCCGCACCCCACAACAGGCCCCAGTGTGTGATGTTCCCCTTCCTGTGTCCGTGTGTTCTCATTATTCAATTCCCACCTATAATTTAAGGATAATTTTTCTTTTACTATTAAAATTTTTAATATTAATTCAAGATATTTGTGCCCAGTGATATTATATACAAAATATTATTTGTATTTAATAGGTTGGTATTTTAGGCTTACAGGTTTTATTTTACATTCTGTTCTCTTTCTGGTAACATGAAAATTATATTATTTTATTAAGAAATATTTTTTCAGTAAACTTTATATATTTCTTTGCCTATCAGCATTTACACTATTTTAAATCAAGGTCTTAATGAATATGCTTCAAAATTAACTCAGTATGTGCAAACTTCAAAGAGGTTTGACATTTGGTTACAGCACAATTAAATAAGGAATTCATGTATTAAAATGTTATACTATGACTTAAAATATCATATTAGCTGGAAACATCAATAGAATCACTAATATTTGATATGTGATACATGAAAATAAAAGCTAATCTGTCTTCTTATTATGGAAGAAAAAATAGATCTTACAATTGCACATTCAACTGTTTTTAATAAATGGCAATTAAGAATTTTAGTCCTCTATTGTATAATTACTGATTTGCAAGGTCCAATATAAAGTCAATAAATTTAAACTAACATAATTCCCTACACCATGCTAATGCTTGGGCCAGGCATACTTTCTTGTCCCTGTGTTAAACAATGCTGGGATCAAGCAAAATAACTTAGCTTATTGCTCCATAAAACATCTGCTACTATAAGATAAGACTGTATTAACTAAAGAGTTTACTTACCAAGATTAACAGCTTGTTCATCCAGATTCTCTTGGAGATCCTCACCTTGCTGTATCTACAGATCCAAAGCTATTATGTCCTAAACTTTGACAAATTCCTGTAAGTTCTCCTTCCAAGGCCTGCCTTAAGATTGCCCAGCTCAGACTTTCAAACTCAAGAAATAACTTCTTCTTATTTCTCATTCTCAAACCATGCTAAGACTCTATCGAGAGACACTCTCACTCACTGCCATATATCTATTAAGTTTTTCCTGACCAACAGATTTTTATAATGGCTGTATTAGTCAGGGTTCTCCAGCACTAACAGGAGATTTAATAGGAGATTCAATAGATGATAGACAGATAGATAGATAGATAGATAGATAGATAGATAGATAGATAGATATTTACTGTAAGAAATTGACTATTGGCTGTTGGCTGTCGTGGCTGACCCCTGTAATCCCAGCACTTTGGGAGGCCAAGGTGGGAAGATCACTTGAGGCTGGGAGTTTGAAACCAGCTAGGGCAATATAGCAAGACCCCACCTCTACAAAAAAATTAATAAAATAATTATAAAATATTTTAGTAATTGGCTGCATGTTTATGGAGTCTGAGAAGTTTCATGGTCTGTCATCTACAATCTGGAGACTCTGAAAGATAATAGTATAAATTGTAGGCTAAGCCTAAAGGCGTGAGAATCAGGAGTACCAATACTGGAAGTCCCAGTTCAAGAAAAGAAGACCAATGCTACAACTCCAGCAGTTAGGCAGAGAGAGAAAATTCATTTTTGTTTTATTCGGGTCCTTAGTGGGTTGGAGGATGCCCAACCACATCAGAGAGGAAAATTTGTTTTAACCAGTTTTCCAATTCAAAGTTAATCTCTCCTGGAGACACCCTCACAGACACACCCAGAAATAATGTATAACAAGCTATCTGGGCATCCCCTGGCCCAGTCAAGTTAACACATAAAATCCACCATCACAGTGGTTTTTGGGGGGTCAATAGTAAGCAGTGGATAGATTTCTGAGTAGACATAAAAAACATGAAAAACATTTAATATTATATGATTAAACTCAAATTTTGTATACTTTAAATACAGATTACTTAGTGATCACCTAACATTGACTACCAATACAAATTTAAGGTGTAGTTAATTTTGATTTTCCATGACAACTAAGAAAATTAAAAGTTAGCCTTGTATTTATTTCCTAAAATGAAACAAACAAAACTCTATGATTTTAAAGCATATTTTGATCATTCAAAAATAATCTTGGTTAATAACAATAATGAACTTCAGATTATATTTTAAACTAAAAACAGCAAGCCAAATATTTTCCAGAAAGAATCGAGCACTTTAAGTAGTCTAGAATTTAGGGACATGTTTATAATGTTGGGATACAGGTTGAGCATCCCTAAAACAAAAAATCAGAAGTGTTTCAAAATTCAAAACTTTTTGAGTGCTGACATGATGCCACAGGTGGAAAATTCTACAACTGACCTCATGTAATAGTTTGCAGTAAAAACTTGGTGTATAACACAGAGTTTATTCATTTAGGGGACATACTTAAAATATTGCATAAAGCTATCTTCAGGCTATACATAAAAAGTATACATGAAACACAAATGAATTTTGTGTTTAGATTTGGGTCGCGTCTCCAAGGTATCTCATCTTGTATTTGGAAATATTCCAAACTCTGAAAAAAAATCTGAAGTCTGAAACACTTCTTATCCTAAGCACTTCAGATAAAGAATACTTAGCTTGTTCTATAAACTGGAATGAAAAGTTTGGCAAGCCATTTGGGGCATTTATTGCTTTTCAAAAATCTCTAAAACCAGAAAACCTAACTCCTATGATTCAGGGAGAGAGACATCTATCTCCATTTTCCAACAGCACTCTTATGTGTAACAGCCATCACTACCAGAAATGGCTGCTCTATTTTATACCAAATTAAAATCATGCTTGGTAACTTCTGAGAAGCTGATTTTTTTTTTTTCTCATCCTAACATCAGAAGGCAGTTGTATCAGTCTCAGAATATCTCCTTTCAGGGGTGGTCCTGGGATAGTTTTGTCAGGTCAATGTTTCATTCTGAATAGAAATGGTGAAAGGACAGATAGAAAGGAAAGAACTGGGAAAAAATCTTCAGGTTAAGTCCTGAGTGTATACTATCATGAGGTGAGAAAAAGGAAATCCCAGGGAAAATTGCCTATGCTCAAAGATATTCCATCATCCCCTCCTCCTCTATCATTCCCTCATTTGCTCTTATTTAAAGACATTGGAAAAGAAATCAAAATTGCCTTTGAAAAAGGTTAATTCATTTTGACTCAATTACAAAACTTCTGTATAACTTGAATTCCATTAATAAGATAGTCTTTAACCTTCCAACCTTCTCTTCAGACTAAAGAATTCAAATTCTTTTCTTTGTTGTTTTGTTCTATCCCCCAGGCTTTTCAACATTCTTCATATCCATCAAACTCTGTAGCAAAAAATTAGGCACTAGTCTTCTAAGACCTAGACTGCAGGTAGATTCATGTGCTTGCTTTTTTTTATACCACTACCATCTTCTATTTCACCCTTGCAAAATTTTTAAAAACATGTGTTTCCGGGGAAAGCATCATGTGGCAGTAGTGATTTTCCCCTGACTCCAGCAGTCCAAGTTCACACAGCATGTGGCTGGAGCAGATGCAGTCAGTGTGATGGAATATGAACAGGTTGCCTTTCTGATGGAACCGCACCCAGCATTTCTTCAAAACATTCAAAAATGTGTACTAAGAGAAGACTCTAGGTTATGTAGGCCACATGCTTACAGAGTTATCTGATTAAAAGCAGTGCTTCAAAACATGCTGGTTTGTTTTTAAAATAATGTTAGCATAACTAATGCTTATTACATACAACATAAAAACTTAAAAAAACACCCTTTTTAGCAGATGATTTAAATTATTTTGGAATCAGCACAACACAGAGAAGCAGGTGATAAGAATAATGTGTTAGTATAATGAGTCCTTAAACCACAGATTTAATATTGTTCCTGAAATGTTTGGCAAGAGGAAAAAGTATCAAGAGAATTCGATAATAGTTTATTCCTAGTGGGCTACAGCAAAGATAGACTGTCACAGAATGAATGAAAACTTCTATCTCTGTAATTGAAAATATAATTATAAAAATTTTGAATCTAAAGTGCAAGGTAATTCTAGATTTCAAGCTTACAGTAGGCCAGTCTGGCTGATACAAACAAAATCACAAAATGCACTGTCACCCTGTTATCTGCTGCTCTCTTTCTTTGCAACTTTACATATATTAAAATCAAAAGGCAGGGTAACTCTGAGTGATGTTTCTGTTAAAAACGTACATACAAAAGAGGACTAGATTCTGCCATAATCAAGAATATTGCAATTAGACATAAATGCCTCAGTTGTGGAAAAGCTGGACCTTAACCAACTTCGAAATATTTACCTGTATAGACTATGCCAGAACACCACGGGCCAAACTTTCCCTTTGTAAGATCCTTTATGAAAAATCTTACAGACAGAAGGGATTGGGCAACTCATAAGCCAGCAAATACAACAAGACGCAAACACAACGAAAAAAATGTTGAGTCTTGCTACCAACAAAGAAATGGGATTAATTAAAGAAATTAATAAAAAAGGAGCTATTACCACTTATTGCACTGAAAAGTTTATGTGAAAATGCCCATGCTGGTTTTGGGGAAAAAAATTGGTAATATGTATCAAGAATTATAAATATGTGCATATTCTTTAAATTTAAAGATTATAATAAAAGTATATAATCTAACAACTCTATTGCCTGAGATCTCTATATCAAGAAAAGCTGCATTTTCAGGAAATGGGGTTGATTTTATTTTATATCACTAGGATATGTAAATAATTATACCTTTATGCTAGCCAACACCCCTTCTCCTCAATTTGGCTGTTAAAAATCCAAAATGTAATTTGATGCACATCTCTAATGAATGCATAAAACTTAACAGCATGTATTTCATAATTCTTGTTTCAGTTTATTTTTTCTCTGCTTATTTTTCATTACTTTGATATTGTCAGGCGATATTTTCATCTTCTTATTTTATATTGTTTGAAAGCTATTTTATTTTAAAACTTTTGGAAATAAAACAAGATTTAAGCAATTTAAATGTTCACCAAATAAAATACCACAACACCGTTCCCGACTTACCATGGTTCAACTTACAATTTTCCTACTTTAGGATGGATTTATTGGGACATAAACCCATTGTAAGTTGAGAAGCATCTGTATATGGAAAATAATTTTGACATAAGAAACATTTAATAAATGTCTATCATTAAAATTTTATTTGCAAAAAAGTGTGAGTCAAAAGATGAGAGAATTATAGGGTATAATATAAACATTTAAAACTAATATAAAAACAAAAAACTATTCTTATAATAAAATTTAATTTATATTATAATATATATTATCATGTAATTTGAGTAAAAAAAAGTGAAGAATTAAAAATACACAATTTTGTGTGTGAGAGAGGTAAAGAGAAGGAAAGAGAAAGAAGAAATATATGCCTGTGTACCCACAAAAAGAAATCCTTAAAAATGCCAGCAGTCTTATTAAGAGATTTGCTTCTTGTTTTATATTTTTTCAAAATATTGTTGTTCCTATGTTACTAAAAAACATAAAATGTTATCTTTTAAACAAAGTTTAAAGGTCAAATTTTGTTAAATGTTAAATTTTTAGTATTATTTTTATGATGAAATGTATTTAATTTAAAATTATACCTGACTAAAGTCCTGGTCCTCAGGCAGGTTAAATTTTGCAATTTACATTTTATTAATAAGGTATTTAAGACCCAGGTGAGCAAAGAGACTTCTGGAGGCTAGAAACACTGATAATGTCAAGAAAAAATTAGGGATCCAGTACCCTGGCATATTTTCATTCATATGTTGGCATCTTTTCTACTGTAATTATGCTACCTATCTCTGATGATGCTTGGCTTTTAAGCTTGCTGAGAGAGAAACTTTGCATCAGACTTCAGTATGATGTAGTCATATTTTTTATGCTTATTTTCATAAAATTCAAATTAATTTGAAGCGTAGTTGAGCAACATTGTCAACTGTATCTTGGAGAAGCATTCTAAACTTCACTTTCTCCTCAGAGATGAGAGTGGGCAGCTCCAAGGAGGTGGGCAGCCCTACCTCCTACACAGCTCATCTCTGAGGCATTGGTGGACAGACGGGGCTGTGAATCTCCAAAGTTCCTCACAGAGGAAGCAGGAGGGTAACAAAATGGACGAGGGAAGTTGTGAAGTCTGGCATGAGGCTGACAGTGGACATGTGAGGGGAATCTGTTAAAGTCAGTGCTCAGGCTAAAGGCAGCTGGACGATGACAGGGAGGCCACCAGGGTCACTGCTCACACAGCACTTGTGCCATAACTGAGGGAGCCATGGGGCCTGGAACTGAGGAAGCAGCTGGACTGTGAGGTGGATCTAACTGCTGAGGCAGGAAGCGGGTGGTCACAGGAGGAGGAAAAGATGAGGCTTGCGCTATGGAGCATCTGCCCCCACATTGGCTCCTGTGAAAAGGCTCCACGAAGATTAAATCGTAAAGGAAAAAGCATTTATTTTGCCTAATCATCGACAGAAACAATTTTGACACTTGCAATGCTGAAAGGAAGGCTACTCTGGACAACAAAACAAGAAATGTGGAATTCTCGAGGGCTAAGTTGTCTCAGAAAGTGCACGGGCAACAAACACATTTCCACAAGAGGCTGGGTGGTCAGTAAGGAATTCTTCACTGATTTCTGACTTTTCCAGTGACTGATGTGCACCTCCAAGCAAGTTCCTGAATCTCTTTGAACCTGTCTTCCTACTAGAAAAATGGGTATCTTGCTGTAAAAAGAAACCACTTCTTTTAGAAACCAAAAGTTCCCTGGCAAGCTACATATGCAAAATGCTCTAATTTCAAAGGAAAATATGTTGGAGTCATTCTTGAATATCTAAGTTGAAATTCTCTTTATAAAGTTTTAGCTGTAAGAACACATTCTAAATTTATTGATCCAAAATTGTCTGGTTGGCTTTTGTTGTTGCTTTAAACAACTTTCTATTCTATGTACTAACAAAAAAATCAGATGTTAAATTTTCTTCATGTTGGCTTAATGGAGATAAATAAAAAGCACATTTTTAAATTATCATTTTCTACTTACCATAGGAAGATAAATTTAGAGCTTGTTTAGTCTATTGAAGCTGTAACACACTCTGTTTAGCTCATAAGGCGGCCCTGGTTTCACTCCAAAATAGGCGTTTTCCTGACAAAAATAAAATAAAATAAAATAAAAAACAAAGGTCGAAGTCATAATTATACCTAATAGGAAAATAATGAAATCAACTGAATATTAACTAGATCTTTCTATTCAGGCTGGTGCATTTTTAGGGAGATACAATCTTAAAAATTAAATTTTTAGGCTGGGTGCAGTGGCTCACGCCTGTAATCCCAGTATTTTGTGAGGCTGAGGTGAGCAGATCACATGAGGTCAGGAGTTCGAGACCAGCCTGGCCAACATGGGGAAATCTTGTCTCCTTTAAAAATATAAAACTTAGCTGGGTGTGGTGGCACACATCTGTAATCCCAGCTACTTGGGAGGCTGAGGTGGGATGACTACTTGAGCCCAGGAGGCAGAGGTTGCAGTGAGCCGAGATGGCACCACTGCGCTCCAGCCTGGGCAACAGAGCAAGACTGTGTCTAAAAAAAAAAAAAAATTACTTTCTGTAAAGTAACCCCCCATCCCAACATACACACACAAACACACAAACACACTTGACTAGGGTTCTCCTGGTTCATACATGACCTTCCTCTAAGGCAGTGTTTTCATAAATTAACTGATAATGAATACAGATTTCCAAGTTCCTGCAGAGTAAATTCTGAATCAGTAGATCTGAAGTAAGGCAAAGCAATCTGTATTTTTTTTTTTAACAAGCACCCTAGGGAGCGAAGAAGTTCAAAAAAACATTTCTCTAAAAGACCACTTGCTACTGTTGTAGGTAAATAACTCAATTCACCTAGATCCTGTCTTAGGACAGACCATCCGTGACAGCACTAATAAATTGTGCATGAAATTGATTTCATCTGTATTGGAAACATAATTTGTCCTGCAGTATGTCTTGTGTGCCATTGACTCACACTTTCATTTCAGTTGTTGTTTCTGTGTGGTCTAATCTTGTATATATAACCTCACTTACAGAGAAGATTTTAATTTTTCTCAATTATGAAGTTTGCCTTTCTCCCTCCCTTCAGTTTACTGATTTTTCAGTGAGGAGTTCTCAAGCCTTAGAATTCAATTTCTTCTGATTTCAGTTCAAGGTAAAAGCTTAAACCCAAGCAAAGCTCACTGCAAAGAATGTGGTTAGAACAGAAGAATAGAAATTGCACATTTATTCAATTATATCTTTTGTTTTGTGCTTTGTAAATACCTTTTCATCTAACGTAAATTAGAATCACGGTCTTAGTGAATTTCAGACACAAATAGGGTGGTTCACACTCATATATCTTAGCCACCATGTTTATTGGCACTGTATTATAATGGACTTAGACTAAAAGAAGAAATAACCATTTGAGTTTGTTTCCTTGTTTTACAACCTTTTCACATTCCAGCTTCTCCACATAAAAGGAATTAACAGAACAGAGTACACTGCACCTGAATACTAAACGTCCTCACATTCTATGTCCTTGAGCAAATTTGAACTAGGGGAAAAAATAAAATAAAAAAAACTTTTTGCTAACACAAATACAATGAAGTAGCAGACATATGCACTATGCTAAATTCTATCACTTTCTAAGCTATGTGTCATGAATAAATAACATACTTTAAGAAACCACACAAACTCCTTTTGATCACCAGGTTTCTATTCTGTAAATTGCTGCTGCAGATTTATATGCTACCTAACTTACTATCAGTGAATATATGAGGTAAGGGGAGAATGGAGTCATATTGTAATTGCCATATTATGTGTGCTTATCCAGGTTACACATTATGTTTGAAAGTTATTTTTCTTACAGGGATAAGGATGGGGTGATGTGTGCCATTTTATTATTATCAAGAGGAATATTAAATCAATTTGTATTTATCCCAATAACAAAATTTTAAAATTTGTGAAAGAGGGTTCATTTATTTTTAATTAGTAGTAAATAAACCACCTTATAATGAAAAGCATAGTAATTTCTGCTTGAATATCTATAAAATAAAAAGGCATGAAGAAACCAAATA
The DNA here is from genome assembly GCF_000001405.40 of Homo sapiens. NCBI lineage: Eukaryota > Metazoa > Chordata > Mammalia > Primates > Hominidae > Homo > Homo sapiens. Next base: position 82,183,395 of record NC_000003.12, on the reverse strand, counting down.
GTACATTGCAACTAACTGTAAAAGTGAAGCTGAAATAACATCACTCTAAATCCTCCCAATATGCAAACCATGATGATATGAAAAAAACACAAACTTTAGATTACAATCCTTTTCTTCAATGCCCTAAGCAAACATAAAATTTTAAATCCCAAATTAAATACTATTTAAACATATATTTTTAATTAAATATATGTAAACATTAAGTGATTCTGATATAATAGCTTTCAAGGCCAGACTAATAGTTCTGTTTCCTTTTCTCTGTCATTCTGGTGAGTCCACAGAGTAAATGAATTTTTTTTAAGTCACTCGATACAGATAAGGTTTTTTTTAATAAAACCTGACAGTCTGGTTTTAAAATTTATATGGAAGATTAAACGGCCAAGAATAACCAAGATATTTTTGCAGTAAAAGAATAAAGAGTGAGGATTTACCCTACCAGGTAGCAGGACTTATTATGAGGCTATAATAAATATGATAGGAGTAGCATTGTATTGGAGTTTTATAAATTAACAGATTAAACGTAATAAAGAGTTTAGACGGATATGCATATATGAAAACTTGATATATGACAAGAGTGGTATGCAAGATCAGTTCAAAATGAAAAAAAAAATCAATTAATAAAACCAAAGAAAAACGACCATCTATAGGTAAAAAAATTGTAGGAAACTAGATCCTTACCTAATGCCTTTCACTCCAGCAAACTCAGATAGATTACAAACATAAATATCAAAAACAACGCTTTAAACATTTAGTCAAAAATATAGATTAATACTTTTCTGACCTTGGGATAAAGATCATTTCCTAAAACAAGACAAAAAAAATGCTAGCTAGAAGACATGATTGATAAAACCGACTCTATTAAAATGAAGAATTTTGATTTTTCAAAAGGCACATAAGGTAAGGGAAAACAAAGTAAAAACTGTTAGGAGAAAAGGACCAAGGATATATTAAAGCAAAGAATCACTTCTAAAAAATAAAAAGGAAAGGATAAACAACTTAATAGGCAAAACAGACACAAACAGAAAAATGGGCAAAAGACACAAACAGGTATTACAGAGAAGAGGAAACACATAATTACCAGTAAGAATATGAAGACGGGCTCAACCTCTTTGTGGTTAAGGAAATGCGAATCAAGACCACAAGATACCATTTTATATCCACCCACTGACAAAATTTAAGAGCCCTGATCACATCATGTGCTAGAGAAGATAGTTTTAGTGTCATTGATCAGAACATAAAGTTAAAATGACTCTGAAAAATAATTTGGCAATATCATTTAAAGTTATTCTCATATCAAACTATTCAACATTTATACTGCTAGGCATTATCCAACGATATGCCTCACATTTGTGAACTTGGACGCATATACATGAATATTACTAGCAAGGTTATTTATAATAGGGAAATATGAGAAATTAACCCAACTGAAAAGGAGATGAATAATTAAATGTGATATATCCATGCACTATAATTCTATAATAGTGCAACCCAGGTGTGGTGGCACATGCCTGTAATCCCAGCACTTTGTGAGGCCAAGGCAGGAGGATTGCTTGAGCCCAGGAGTTCAAGACCAGCCTGGGCAACACAGCAAGACCACGTCTCAAAAAATGAAAATTCTGTAATAGTGTCAATGAACATATATACCTGCAACAGTGAAAACAGACAAATTATAAAGCTACTTGGAATAACTTAGATGAAATTTAATGTACAATGCTGTCAGTGGGGAGGAGGAGGTGAACACAATATTAGAAGACTATGAACAACCTACTACCCTTTTTTAAAAGTTCAAAACAGTTAAAACTATAGATAGACAGATGTGGAGATATAGACACATGTGTCTATATATATATGTATATACAGAAATGTATTATGTAGATTTTTATATATATGTACTTTTTTGAGATAGAGAAAAATACGCACAAATTCAGATAGTGGTCATTATAGAGGGGGGTTGGGGGATGGCATGGGGAGAACATATTAGTAAATATAAGTTATAATAAAACATATTAGTAAATATCAGTTATGATCAATGTATTATATTAGTTCTTTGGTTAGTTCAATGACATTCAGTATATTTTAGATGATAGATGTGGATAGATGATAGATAGATAGATAGATAGATAGATAGATACAGCCCACTGAGAAATGATAATAAAGTCTACTGACTATCATTATGCCAATTCTGTGAATCTGAAATATATTAAATTAAAAAGTAAAAGACAAAAAATACCACCTGACTCCAGAGCAGTTCTCAAACTTCACTATGTACCACCATCACCTGGAAAGCTTTATTAAAGTTCAGATGATTGAGTCCCCACCTCCAGAGGTTCTGTGTCAGTGGAACTGAGGTGAAGCCAATAAATAGCACCCTAGGTGATTCTATTCTAGGTGATATAAGGTTCACAGTATTAGAAATACTGCTTTATAGGAAACGTTTTTCTTGGCTTTATCACAAAAAAGTTTATGTTCTTCAACCTGTGTATGTCATAGTGGCCCAATGCCCTCTGGACTTAAGTGACACAAGTTTATATCTTCATGACCCTCCATTGTTCCAGCTGCATAGTTCATATTAAGGCATGCCTTATATTAAATAATAAAACCTGTAGTAATAATAACTTAAACATATTTACATAGAACTGCATGCTTAATCTATTTTTATTACTTTATGATATGAGATGAATTGTATCCCCCCAAAATTCATATGTTGAATTACTAACTCTCAGAATGTGACTGTACTTGGAGATAGGGTCTTTAAGGAGGCAATTAAGGCTGAGTGTGGTGGGTCACACCTGAAATCCCAGCTCTTTGGGAGGCCAAGTTGAGAAGATCGCTTGAGCCCAAGCATTCAGGACCAGCATGGGCAACATACTGAGATCCCATCTGTACAAATAAAAAAATTATAAGAAAAAACGAGGCAACTAAGTTTGAGAGCAGTCATTAGATTGGGCCCTAATCCAATATGACTAGTGTCCTTATAAAAAGAGGAAATTCGGACATTTTGGTCATAGACATGCACAGAGGGAAGACCACATGAAGACACAGTGCGAAGAAAGAAACCCTGCCTACACCTTGATCTTGAACTTCCAGCCTCCAAAACTGTAAGAAAATATTTTTTTCATATTTAAGTCACCCAATCTGTTGTATTTTGCCACAGCAGCCCTACCTAACAAACTAATACATCTCACAAAACCTAACCTTACATAGAGAAGATGTTTAGGGAGAGGTGGGAACATTATACCATTAAAAAATCATTACAATTACATTTGGCATTAAATATGGAAGGACAAATTGGTGGATGGAAAACTGGTCTGTCAGTATTTTTCACTATCTAGATGAGGCATACATATCTGACATATCTATTTGCACCACCTTTTCACCAGGAGACTGATGTTGAAAGGAATTGGCAGTTTTCATACAATGATTCCTTAAACGTCAATGTAAATGAACACCCATTATTAAAATTCATAATGCCTAGCCACCCATATGAAATAGACATTTGTTGTTTTGTTGGTTTTTTTTTTTTTTTTTAGCCATCAGGCACTTACCCCATTTATTAATCTGTTCCTCTATTCAAATTCTAGCAGCACTGAGTCAAGCAGGTGGACTTGTGACCTAAACTAGACTATCAATGCTTCTTTCCAGGATTATGAATCTTTTCCAGAGACAATGGGCACAGCGACATTATGACTTTCATTGGCCATAGGAAAGTTTGCTTCTGTGGTCCTCTTCTTATATTAAAAATATATATTAAGTAATTATATTTTACAACTGTGTTATTATAAAGATATGCAGCTGGGTTAGATTCATTTTTTCTTGTGATTTTAAAATAAACTTAAAATATGTTTTGTTTGTACTTAACAGTTTTGTGGGCCCTAGGCACCATGCCCACTGTGCCTCGTGGCTCACTCAGCCCTAACGAGAACTCTGGAGATGGGAGGATTTCACTCTCATGCTGAAGTGCTCGGGCCAGCTTCCTTGCCTTGACCTTTACCAGAGTTTCTGTTCTTTAGCCTTAGAGTTTTGTTTTGTTCTGTTTTGTTTAAATGACTATTCATCTCAGAATAATGTGGTCTTATGACCCTATTTTGTTTTTTAAGGTAGAATTAAGTCTTCAGGATATGTTCATTCTAAGACAAGTTTACTGTTACAGAACTCTTCTGTATAGCACAAGTCAGTGGTGTTCAGCACTAGAGATGTTTCACATTGCAGGGAGTCTGTAAGACTTACAAACCATGCACCAAGTAAGTGAACTCTCAGCTTGCATTTAAAACATTTTTGGATCAAGTGTTCTGGGGTTTCAATTTAAAAATAGTCAGAGGAAAAGCAGATCTTTAAATATTTATTTTTCTGAAAAATCTACACTGGACTAGTTGTAACATAAATGAAGCCAATATTATAGCATCAAAAGCCACAACTCATGATAAAGACAAATACTAACAGTAAAAGAATGAACAGCAACGTAGCAATTTGTTTATATGAGCAATGTGTTCTAATGCTAACATTAATGTATTAGCCTCATTTCAAAAGCAAGTCTGTTTCTACATTACCTGGTATTTTAACAATAATACAAATATTAAAAGTCAAACAGCTAAGACCAGGGTGAGAGGATGAGAAACTTAGGAGGCAAAATTTAAGGAGACACACACTCTCAAGGTAATACAAACGCATGCACGGTCAGTATTTCCATAACCCTGAAAGTTAGCCCCCACTTAAAGTCTGCATCTTAGGAAACTCATTCTCCTTATCTTAGTTCCATCCTTCATAAGCCAATTTATTAGTATATTCAAAAAAGAAAGTGAAATGTATTTATAATACTTGACTTGGCTACAATCAAAGCCTGGCTTAAAATTAACTCTCTATTCTCTAGAACCTAGAAATGAAACAAAGCTAATGATGACCAGTAACTCTTTCGCAACACTTCTTCAAATACAGTAGGATAAAGTTATTATATATACCTCTATTTATCCTTTTCTTTCAAGTCTTCATATCTTCGTAATTAGTGTTTTGTTTTGTGTGGTCTTTTTGGAAGCTGCATTCGTTTAATTAAATAGTTAATATTGCTGAAGTGTAGATGAAGAAAAGCACTAAACTATAAAAGACTCACTTTAACTTGTCAGGTTTATTGCAGGAATGAAGCCCAGACCACAAAATCAGATGTTAAGAAATAACATAATCTTCATTTTTCTATAATGGAAATTAATTTTTGACTCTGTACATACATTCTGTGTATCTGATGGAAAAACTGAATCTTATTCTCATATTAACATCACCTCTTACCCACTCTGTGATTACTCTAAGATTCTGGGATCTAAAACAGTACCAAAGCATTAGGTAGGGATTAGGAGGCACTCTGATAAGAGATCCACAATCAGAGTCCACAGAGTTTATCCAGCCTCAACCTCAAGAAAGGACAACTCAGCATTTTTTTCAGCTTTAACATAAATAGTACACAATAAACTGTGGTCCTAAAGAGGTATTGTCATAGGGTCAAGACTTGGGGGAAAACTCTTTAATAAAAGGATATCCCATCAATGAGAATTCACTATTAAACAATGAGCAAAGTGAGGAAAATTGAGGAATTATCAATAAAAGAGAGCAGGCAATTGCTAATTGAAACACTGAGCAGAGGTCAATCATGGTAAATGACTGCAATTTTCCCAAATACTGCTAAAACAAGATCCCTGTTTTTGCTACATCAGGGCACTGCTAATTAATTTTCATGCTAGAAAGAGAGCTTAGATAACTATGCCTTTTAAATTCAGTTTAGTTCCACTGAATCAGGGCATCCCTCAGAGTGGGCCTCTAAGGAAAGTTCAAAATGGTAGAAGAAATAGGAGGGGGGAATTTCTCCATTAATTTAAGAAACAGCCTGAGGGTTTAATTCAGTTTCCTTCTTTTCAAAAGCAAGGGCACTTGTGAAAGAATTGAAGAAAGAGCACGGAAAGTAGGACCCATTTCTTGCTGCCAATCTTGCAGTCTAATTTGATGTTGCCTCTTTCCCCCTAAATTCCCAACTGATTTCTAAGTATGAGGAAAACCGCCTGTTGATTTACAAATAGGTACCCCGTATTTGCCTTTGTTATTGCATGACTCTAACATTTTGGATGAATAATAGTGAATACTGTTGGTTGTTGCTAGTTCTTTTGAAGAAGAGCTATTTTAAAAATAATTTCACAGTCTGAAGAAAAATAGTGAAGAAAGCATTAGGCATACTGGAAGTGAACTAAAAATATCTAAGTCAAAGACATGAGTATCCTATGAGAGGAATTACTTTCAAGAGCACATCTCGATCTCTGTTCACTTCTAATCATAAATAATTAAATTGAAGAATCAGTAAAATGGCAGCTTCCACTTAGTTCATATTAATCACTGTTACAGAGTAGTGAAAAACTGACATGTGGTTTTAAACTCATGATAGGATTTTGCTTTATAAATATTTATAACTAACATGGTTTGGTTTTAACAGCTTTTTTATAAGTGTGTGGAAAGCAGGAAGACACCATACTTCAAAAGTAACATCTTATCATAGGCTATAAATAATTTTTTTTACAAATCGTCAGCAACATCAGAGAAATTCAAAAACACTGAAGTTTTTTCAAATTATAATCAGTAATTTAAATTGAATTGTATTCTTATATAAATACACATATATACACACTCATAAGTGCAAAGAATCTGAAGATTTTCTCTATTAATTCTCTATTAATTTTCTGTATTAAAATAGAGAAAGTAAAACTACTTATCAATAAGTAAAGACAATGCTTGCTATATAAACATTTGTTATTAGTGTAAAAACAGTATGAGAAAGACTAGAAAGAATGGTGTATTTTATTCTTTGAGTTGTCATTTGCCCTTCTACTTATATATAAGCAAGAAAACTATATAATTATGAGGTGAAAAAAGAAGCAATGTATCTTTTTCCACGGACCTGCCGACATCTAATATTAATATACTGGTGAGAGAGGGTAAGAATGGGAGTTTAATTGGAGTGTTTATTTGAACAACTTACTTCACAACCTTATTTTGTTGTTGTTGTTGCTTTTGTTTTTGAGATGGAGTCTTGCTCTGTTGCTCAGGCTAGAGTGCAGTGGCTCAATCTCTGCTCACTGCAACTTCTGCCTCCCAGATTCAAGCGGTTCTCCTGCCTCAGCCTCCTGAGTAGCTGAAAATACAGGTGTCCACCACCATGCCCGGTTAATGTTTTTATATTTTGTAGAGACGGGGTTTCACCATGTTGGCCAGGCTGGTCTTGAACTCCTGACGTCAAGTGATCTGCCTGGCTCAGCCTCACAAAGTGCTAGGATTACAAGCGTGAACCACCACACCCAGCCCACAACCTTGTTAAAACCACATATCCTTATCTACAACCTATAGTTGCAAAAGCATCTTTTGGATTTGGGCTTAGAAATTTAAAAAAAATTAATTCCAACATTTCTCATGCACAACAAAGTTGGAGAATGATTCGTCTCTATGTTACTATATCTTCTAATGAAAGCTTTGTATAGCTTCATTTAAATATAGATTCAGAAACACTACTACTACTACTACTACTACTACTACTACAAAAATTAGGTATGTCACTGGTGGACAAATTTTGGAAGTGCAGAAAGAAATTAAAAATGAATATATTTAGAAGTTATACCTCATCAAAACTAATACTACCAATTAAAAATGTGTCTATCAATGAGTGAATAAAGAAGATGTTGTATATATACACAATAGAATACCATTCAGCCTTTAGGAAAGAAGAAAATCCTGTCATTTGTGACAACATGGATAAACCTGTAGGACATTATGCTGAATGGAATAAACCGGCACAGAAAGACAAATACCACATGATCTCACGTATATAGGGAATCTAAAAAAGTTGAACTTATAGAAGTAGAGGCCAGAATGATGACTGCCAAGAGCTGGAGGGAATGGGGGGATGTTGAGGTCGAAGGACACAAAATTTCTGTTAGATAGGAGGAATAAGTTCAAGAGATCTATTGAACATCACGGTGATTACGGTTTATAACAATATAGTATGTACTTGAAAATTGCTAAGAGAGTAAATTTTAAATGTCCTCACTACAAAAAAATTGGTAAGTATATGAAGTAATGCATATAAAAGTATCTAAAATCAATTATGGTACATTGCAAATATTTGTATCTTTTTCTGTGGTGGCATACTCCAGAGATAATGAAGTCCTCTGAAGAGCAGTGACTAATTACAGAGTAGCCAAGCTAAGATATCTGAAGTGACCACTAGCAGCATTTGAACTAACTTATAATTGGTTTTGTGTGGACTCCATTTGTCTCCACTATGGCTCACTTTGACATTGAGGTTGTCTCTTGCTGTCTTGGACATTCCTTAACTTTAATGTGTTAACTCTTGAGGCTGATCTATATAAGGAAAGATAAACATCAGAGAGATCAAATAATTTGACATAGATGTCGGTCAAGTCAGTAAAAGAGCTGGTGTATTCCATGTCACTACCTCATGGCTGAGGGAATGCTATATACCTTGAAAACATTTCAGAATTTGTGGAGACTACTTGACGTTTTAAGTCTTATGTGATCTCCCAACCCTTGAAACTAACATTTTCATATGTTTCTCCTAGAATAATCTACTATTAGGAATAATTGCTATAAAGAATAAATATGGTCAACTTTTTGTTTTTTATTGTGGTAAGATACGCATAACATACACTTCACTATTTTAACTATTTCCAAGTGTACCATTTAGCAGCATTAAGCACATTCATATTGTGTATAAATATCATGAACTTTGTTTTATTATATACTCCATGACTAAGGAACACCTAGGCCTGTTTCCCATTTTACCACTCAGTACCTAACATGATGCCTGATAATCACTGCCTGGTTAATAAATGAATGAATGGATCCATGACGCCCTGCCTTGTAAGAACTGAATGAATTGAATGTGTTTGAAAGTACTTTGAATAATGACTATTGCTGGGCGCAGTGTCTTCACACCTGTAATCTCAGCACTTTGGGAGGCCGAGGCGGGCGGATCACGAGGTCAGGAGTTCGAGAACAGCCTGGCTAACACGGTGAAACCCCGTCTCTACTAAAAATACAAAAAAAAATTAGCCAGGCGTGGTGATGGGTGCCTGTAGTCCCAGCTACTCGGGAGGCTGAGGCAGGAGAATGGCGTGAATCTGGGTGATGGCGCTTCCAGTGAGCCAAAATCACGCCACTGCACTCCAGCCTGGGCAACAGAGTGAGACTCCATCTCAAAACACAAAAAAGAAAAAGAAAAAAAAAATGACTATGAGGTATATACTATGTCCTCATCCCAGGCAATTGTGCTTAAATGTTTGGCTTGTGTACATCGGATCAAAGCCAGACAGCTTAATAACAATGTAGATATTTGATCCACTCACAAAGATTCTGACTCTGATGCCACTGAGTCCTGAAAGGAGGTTTTGAAATCTGCCATTTTAAGATGTCTCCTGGTTTAAAATCTATGCTCGGCCTGGTGCAGTGGCTCACGCCTGTAATCCCAGCAGTTTGGGAGGCTGAGGTGGGCGGATCACCTGAGGTCAGGAGTTCAAGACCAGCCTGGCCAAAATGGTGAAACCCTGCCTCTACTAAAAATACAAAAATTAGCCGGGTGTGGTGGCGTGCACCTGTATGCCCAGCTACTCAGCAGGCTGAGGCACAAGAATTGCTTGAACCTGGGAGGAGGAGGCTTCAGTGAGCTGAGGTCGCGCCACTGCACTCCACCCTCAGTGAGAGAGGGAGACCCTGTCTTAAAAAACAAAAACAAAAACAAAAAAACATAGCCGTAAGTGCCCACAAGAGAAAGCAGGAAAGATCTAAAACTGACACCCTAACATCACAATTAAAAGAACTAGAAAAGCAAGAGCAAACACATTCAAAAGTTAGCAGAAGGCAAGAAATAACTAAGATGAGAGCAGAACTGAAGGAAGTAGAGACACAAAAAAACCCTTCAAAAAATTAATGAATCCAGGAGCTGGTTTTTTGAAAAGATCAACAAAATTGATAGACCTCTAGCAAGACTAATAAAGAAGAAAACAGAGAAGAATCAAATAGACACAATAAAAAATGACAAAGGGGATATCACCACTGATCCCACAGAAATACAAACTACCATCAGAGAATACTAGAAACACCTCTATGCAAATAAACTAGAAAATCTAGAAGAAATGGATAAATTCCTTGACACATACACCCTCCCAAGACTAAACCAGGAAGAAGTTGAATCTCTGAATAGACCAATAACAGGCTCTGAAATTCAGGCAATAATTAATAGCTTACCAACCAAAAAAAGTCCAGGACCAGATGGATTCACAGCCGAACTCTACCAGAGGTACAAGGAAGAGCTGGTACCATTCCTTCTGAAACTATTCCAATCAATAGAAGAAGAGGGAATCCTCCCTAATTCATTTTATGATGCCAGCATCATCTTGATACCAAAGCCTGGCAGAGACTCAACAAAAAAAGAGAATTTTAGACCAATATCCCTGAAGAACATCGATGCAAAAATCCTCAATAAAATACTGGCAAACCAAATCCAGCAGCACATCAAAAAGCTTATCCACCATGATCAAGTGGGCTTCATCCCTGGGATGTAAGGCTGGTTCAACATATGCAAATCAATAAATGTAATCCAGCATGGAAACAGAACCAATGACAAAAACCACATGATTATCTCAATAGATGCAGAAAATGCCCTTGACAAAATTCAACAACCCTTCATGCCAAAAACTCTCAATAAATTAGGTATTGACGGGACGTATCTCAAAATAATAAGAGCTATCTATGACAAACCCACAGCCAATATCATACTGAATGGGCAAAAACTGGAAGCATTCCCTTTGAAAACTGGCACAAGACAGGGATGCCCCTCTCTCACCACTCCTATTCAATATAGTGTTGGAAGTTCTGGCCAGGGCAATCAGGCAGGAGAAGGAAATACAGAGTATTGAATTAGGAAAAGTGGAAGTCAAATTGTCCCTGTTTGCAGATGACATGATTGTGTATCTAGAAAACCCCATCGTCTCAGCCCAAAATCTCCTTAAGCTGATAGGCTACTTCAGCAAAGTCTCAGGATGCAAAATCAATTGTGCAAAAATCACAAGCACTCTCATACATCAATAGCAGACAAACAGAGAGCTAAATCATGAGTGAACTCCCATTCACAATTGCTTCAAAGAGAATAAAATACCTAGGAATCCAACTTACAAGGGACATGAAGGACCTCAAGGAGAACTACAAACCACTGCTCAATGAAATAAAAGAGGATACAAACAAATGGAAGAACATTCCATGCTCACACATAGGAAGAATCAATATCGTAAAAATGGCCATACTGCCCAAGGTAATTTATAGATTCAATGCCATCCCCATCAAGCTACCAATGACTTTCTTTACAGAATTGGAAAAAAACTACTTTAAAGTTCAAATGGAACCAAAAAAGAGCCCACATCGCCAAGTCAATCCTAAGCCAAAAGAACAAAGCTGGAGGCATCATGCTACCTGACTTCAAACTATACAACAAGGCTACATTAACCAAAACAGCATGATACTGGTACCAAAACAGAGATATAGACCAATGGAACAGAACAGAGCCCTCAGAAATAATGCCGCATATCTACAACCATCTGATCTTTGACAAACCTGACAAAAACAAGAAATGGGGAAAGGATTCCCTATTTACTAAATGGTGCTGGGAAAACTGGCTAGCCATATGTAGAAAGCTGAAACTGGATCCCTTCCTTACATCTTATACAAAAATTAATTCAAGGTGGATTAAAGACTTAAATGTTAAACCTAAAACCATAAAAACCCTAGAAGAAAACCTAGGCAATACCATTCAGGACATAGACATGGGCAAGGACTTCATGTCTAAAACACCAAAAGCAATGGCAACAAAAGCTAAAATTGACAAATGGGATCTAATTAAACTAAAGAGCTTCTGCACAGCAAAAGAAACCACCATCAGAGTGAACAGGCAACCTACAGAATGGGAGAAAATTTTTGCAATCTACTCATCTGAAAAAGGGCTAATATCCAGAATCTACAATGAACTCAAACAAATTTACAAGAAAAAAACAAACAACCCCATCAAAAAGTGGGTGAAGGATATGAACAGACACTTCTCAAAAGAAGACATTTATGCAGCCAAAAGACACATGAAAAAATGCTCACCATCACTGGCCATCAGAGAAATGCAAATGAAAACCACAACCATCTCACACCAGTTAGAAGAGCGATCATTAAAAAGTCAGGAAACAACAGGTGCTGGAGAGGATGTGGAGAAATAGGAACACTTTTACACTGTTTGTGGGACTGTAAACTAGTTCAACCATTGTGGAAGCCAGTGTGGCCATTCCTCAGGGATCTAGAACTAGAAATACCATTTGACCCAGCCATCCCATTACTGGGTATATACCCAAAGGATTCTAAATCATGCTGCTATAAAGACACACGCACGCGTATGTTTATTGTGGCACTATTCACAATAGCAAAGACTTGGAACCAACACAAATGTCCAACAATGACAGACTGGATTAAGAATACGTGGCACATATACACCATGGAATACTATGCAGCCATAAAAAATGATGAGTTCATGTTCTTTGTAGGGTCACAGATGAAGCTGGAAACAATCATTCTCAGCAAACTATCGCAAGGACAAGAAACCAAACACCACATGTTCTCACTTATAGGTGGGAATTGAACAATGAGAACACATGGACACAGGAAGGGGAACATCACACACCGGGGCCTGTTGTGGGGTGCGGGGAGTGGGGAGGGATAGCATTAGGAGATATACCTAATGTTAAATGATGAGTTAATGGGTGCAGCACACCAACATGGCACATGTATACATAGGTAACTCACCTACACGTTGTGCACATGTACCCTAAAACCTAAAGTATAATTAAAAAAAAAAAAGCAAAAAACTATGCTCTTGCTGTATTGTTGTGTGTTGTATTGGTCTGGTAGTTTCCAAACACATCTCTGAAATTTTCTAGATGAAATGAGAATATGCAAGATGAGATTAATTGAATGCACTTGCTGATGAGGAAACAGGTTTACGGAGGTAAGCAGGTTACCTTTACCCAAGGTCATATGGAAATTAGGGTTAGAAATAGGATATATGTCCATATCTGACGTATTACAAAGTCCATACTCGCCTGAGTGCATAAAGCTGTTTTGCCCTTTCATTACTGAGATGTAATTAATTTATTAATTCATTAATTAACAAATCACAGAAAGCCTAAAAATGTTAGTTACTTGATTACTGGATTAAAGTATAACATGTAGCTTCTTGACAAGTAAGTTAATGAATGAAGTCATTGCAAGAATATTCATTGAGTTCTTGTTGCTCCCAGGTGTGGTGACATTTTTCTATAAGCTTGTTTCCCACATTATGTATTTATTTCTTACTTGAGAAATACAAACAGCATATGTTTTTCATGTACATGTTGTTTTAAAATATGCATACACTATGGAGTGGCTAAAGCAAGACAATTAATATATGCATTAATTCACATACTTCTATTTTGTGGTAAGAATACTTAAAATCTACTCTGTTAGCAATTTCAAGAATACCTTATTAACTATAGTCATTGTGTTGTACATTGGATCTCTTCCAACTTACTTTTTTCTCCCTAACTGCAAATTTGTATCTTTTAACAAACATCTCCCCAGCGGCCTCCCCAGCCCCAGCCCCAAACCTTGGTAACTATCATTGTACTCGCTGCTTCTATGAGTTCAACTTTTTGAATTCCAAGTGTAAGTGAGATCATGTGGTATTTGTCTTTTTGTGACTGGCTTATTTTGCCCAACATAAAGTCCTCCAGGTTCATCCATATTGTTACCACTATACAATTTGTTTTTTTTTTTTTAAGGCTGAATGGTATTCCATTGTGTATATATAACACATTTTCTTCATCTAGTCCTCTGTTAATGGACACTTAGATTGTTTGCATATCTTGGCTATTGTGAACAATGCTTCAACAGACATGCAGATATGTCTTCAAATATTAATTTCATTTTCTATGATTAACTACTGAGCAGGGGGATTGCTAAATCATTTCGTAGTTCTGCTTAATTTTTTGAGAAACTTACATTCTGTCTTCAATAATGGCTGTACTAATTTTCACCAACAATGTGCCAGGGTTTTCTTTTCTCTGCATCCTTTCCAATATTTGTTATCTTTTTCTTTTGGAAAATAGCCATTCTAAAGAGGTGTGAGGCGATATCTTATTGTGGTTTTAATATGCATTTCCCTGATGATTAGTTATGTTGAACATTTTTTCTTATACCTGTTGACCATTTGTATGTCATCTTTTGAGAAATATCTGTTCAGATCTCTGCCTATTTTTAATCAAGTTTTTTTTTACCATGAAGTTGTTTGACTTCCTTATATATTTTGAATATTAACTCCTTATCAAATATATGGTTTGTAAACATTTTCTCCAATCTCATAGGTTGTCTCTTCACTCTGTTGATTGTTCCCCTGGCTGTGCAGAAGCTCTTTTGTTTGCTATGGTCCCATTGTGTATTTTTACTTTTGTTGCCTGTGCTTTTAGACTTATATTTAAAAAAAATCATTGCCCAGGCTAATATCGTGGAGACTTTTCCCCTACCTTTTCTTCTAGTAGTTCTACAGTTTCTAATCTTAAGTCTTTAATACATTTCGAATTGGTGTTTGTATATGGTGGGAGATACAGATAATTTCACTCTTCTGCATGTGGATACCCAGTTGTCCCAACACACACCACTTTGAAGAGACTATTTTTCCCCATTGTGTGTTCAATTGATATTAAAAATGTGTGGATTTATATTTTAGCTCAACATCATGAACTTTTGAAAATACAAGTCTTGGCCTTACATCCAGAGTTTCAGATTGTGGATCATTGTTTAGAATCATTAATAACATTGTTAACAATTGTTAGAATTGTTTTGTTTTTGTTTTAGAGTGAACCATATAATACATTTACTCATAGAATATTATGAAGTCAATAGTTTGCATTAAAAACAGTTGTCACATTTTTATTAACTATTTTTGGCAACATTTTAGCAACGTGTTTTGAAATGGGTAACATAGGTCATTTTGGGCCTGAGGACTGGCAAGATGTTGAAAACTTTACATTTTTGTGATTACACAGCAAAATCAGATGTTCCCACATATGAATTTCTGATTAGGAAAATGTAGATACATTAGAAATTTGAATTCTGTTAGGATATCAAATCGTTCAAGTTGACATAGCTGAAAGCAACTGGAAATAAATGATCAGAAACTGGTTGAAGGTCAGAGACAGAAATGTTCTTTGGTGATTTGTCAGTATAGAAATGTAAGTTAAAATCGTGGAAGCAGAAGAGCTATGAAGGAGGGAATCCAGATGGAGGAGAATATAGGCAGAGAATCAAAGGAAGGTGCTGGTGAGAGAAAGGACAAAAAGAATCCTAAAGACAATGATGAGAAAATCAGAAGGATAAAATAATCAGGCAAATTGACTGGGAAATCTTAAAAAAAGAATTTTTAATGGAAAATAGAGCAGTGAAGCAAAGGAGAAAGAGGTTGGAGAAATATTTTAGTGGTAACCCAAGACAGACTTTTTTTTTTTTTTGTAATTTAAGGTACTACATTGGTATGTTGCACATTTGTTAAAATAGGATGCATATCATGATATTATTGATGATATTACTATTCCTTAAAGACTGATTAAAGGTTTTGGACAACTTTAAGACTACTTTTAGTAAAGGGCTCAATTGATATTTGAAGGGGAAATCATTGTTTTTGTTTTTTCATTTAAAAAAAATGTCCTGGCCATGAGTGGTGGCTCACATCTGTAATCCCAGCATTTTGTGAGACCGAGGCAGGCGGATCACGTGAGGTCAAGCGTTCCAGACCAGCCTTGCCAACATGGCAAAACCCCATCTCTACTAAAAATACAAAAGTTAGCTGGATGCAGCAGTGTGCACCTGTAATCTCAGCTACATGGGAGGCTGAGGCAGGAGAATCGCTTGAACCTGAGAGGCAGAGGTTGCAGTGAGCCGAGATCTCACTACCGCACTCCAGCCTGGGTGACAGGGAGAGGCTCTGTCTCAAAAAAAGAAAAAAAAAATTATTCTGTAGGCAACTCTGATGAACAACCACAGTTTACAGAAACTAATTTTAACACAGTCACTCACAGACTTAATCTCTTATTTATTGGAACATCTGAAATTTGTAAGCCTCTGAGCTAAGTAGCAAGTAAGTATACTGAAATTATAATAAGAATTATTATTTAATCAATCAATGTTAAATATCTATTATATGCCAGTTGCTATTTTGAGGAAAACACACATGTTTTTTAGAGATTTATTTTATTTAATAACACAACCGATAGAAAGCAATTATATATGTACATACATATACATACATGTACATGTATATTATATAGGTACATACATATACATATGTGTGTATATATGCATATGTGTATGTATATTCATGCACATGTCAATACATGTATACATACATATGCCTCTATGCATATACACACATGTATGCATGTATGTCTATGTATGCACATGCATGTAAGTATGTATATGCCTGTGTGCATATACATGTAAGTGATATGTATGTGCATATACATATGCATGTAAGTACATGCATGTACGTATATGCCTGTATGCATACATATACACATGTATGCATGTATGTGTATATACGTACATGCACATATATATATACATGTGCATGTTTGTTATATGGATGTATGACGTATTGGTGGGGATTGGGTTTGCAGTGTGTATATACCACTTTAGAAAGGGTTTTAAAAAATATATATGTATGTATTACATTTTGTTGTGGAAATTATAGAAAACAAAAGTAGATAAAATTATTCCACATAGCTTTAGAAAGCCATATTTATCCTTCCACATCAAAGAAAAGTTTTCTACAAAGCCATAGTGGAAATACCTGAGTCATTGGTGACATGTGCTAACACTACTGATGGAAGGAGTCCTTTTACATTTTTAAAGTTTTCCTCTCTGCCATGATTTATTGTGGGAATAATATCAGTCCAGTGAAAATAGTTCTGAACATAAAAGGCAGCTAGAGTAAAAATTAGGCCTTAACTAAAAATAGCTGCACATATTTACATCAAGAACCACATCCCTGTATTATCATTGCTTTGCAGGAGGGAGAGAAAATTAATTATATTTTTGAGCATAAATCATTATTATTATATTACTAATATATTATTGAGCATAAATTGCTTGTAGTAAAAAAATAAGATCACCAAGAAAAAGTATCTAGAAAAGATGCAAGACATGCATTTGGAAAAGGAGTTAACAGTTAACTTACGACTCTCTCAAGTCACATGTAAAAATTTTAAGAGTAGTCCTGAACACCTGGGAGGTAATCAATATTTATTAAATGACCAAATGAATGAGTAGAACTTGTAAATCATAAATATACATCTGTTTATTTGTTAAATTTACTATGTATATCCTTTAATGACAAACAGGGTCCTGTGCTGAAAAATAGAGTGATTTTTTTCTAATGGGAGAGATTTGAGTACACATATGTATTTAGTAAAAGTCAATGTGTGGAGAAGTTTACAGCACAAGAGACTGAATGAGTAAAGAAAGGCACGTAAAGAATAAGGTTACACAGTAAGTTCATGCCAAACTTTAGGGCTTACTTCTAATTCAAAAATAACTTTATTATTAATATATTTATTCCTTAAATTCTAGAATATAGCTTAATTAAAACAACAGAGAAAAAGTATCAAATGTGACTACTGCCTTGTAATTTTTCTCTGCAAAACTAATCTTTTTTTCTGACCTAATGTAGAGAATAATAGAGTTCCACTAGTAGATTAATCCTCTTAACTCAGTATAATAAGCCTAAGAATAAAGACACGAAGAATGCACTTGTTACACCAGAAGGGAATTGCATAATTGCTGAATGGGCAGTGTGTTTTGCCAGCTACCTAAAGAACTACATCATGCAGACAAGAAAAAGTAAGATATTTTTATGCCATAACAAAGAATGTGGATGTGTAGTTTTCAGTACTCCACTTAGCAAAAGTGGGATTGCAACCTTTATGGGATTTTCCCTCAGTGAATAAAAAATAAGGAATCAAAAAAAAAAGAAAAAGAAAAAGAAACACATACAACCTTGTGGGTTATTTACAGACCATCTATTATAATTTTTTCTTAAATACAGTACTATTTCTTATGCTTTTAAAACATTTTTTCTCAAATTGTACATGATAGTGATAAAATGCATGTGAACATTACTTGAAAACGGTGAAATGGCTCAATATTATGAAGTTTAATCCACTTGATACATTGAGGGATTTCTTCACAACATACTCATAATAAGCGTTTTTGTCGTTGTTGTTGTTGTTGCGTGTTTTTGTTTTGTTCTTTTGTACCTGAGTTTTACCAAATTGAAAGGGGAAAGTTAATAAAACCCACATAAGGAAGTGATGTTTGTACTTATAATGACAGATATAGATTTGAATTTAGGAAGTTGGATACTGTGGAAAGTAAATTACTATGTAAATAGTCATTCTGATTATATTCTCACATAAAGAAAAGAGTAGGGAGAAGGAATTTGTTCCAATTAACCTCGTGCAGACTGCTGTAAACTGGGAGCCACAAAATAGCAAGAGCCAAGCAGTTGCCCTACATGTAAAACATGTCCAAGTTTAAGCCTGGAGAGGTGGAGAGGAGGAGCCTCATTCACCTGAACAAACTCAATCAGAATTCAGAGGCTGCTGAATTTACTCTTTAAACCACATGATTATAGGTGTATAATTATAATGTGGCTAAGATGCCTCATCAGACCAACTGGTCTGAGACCTAAATAGTTCAATCAAAACCGTCAGAAATAGATTCTATAAGAAAAGGTATTTTCTAAGCTTTTGGATTGAAGGACAATCAAGCATAGGCACTATCCATGAGACATTTCAAGTTATTTGAAGTCCAGAATATGTAAAATAAATAAATAAGTGAAGAAAGAATAAACAATAAACAAGAAAATTAAAATCCTACTATTAAATTTGTTACGTGAATTCCTCATTATAAAATTGATAATATTTTGCTCATCTTCTTAATTTTACATAATTTTCTTTGTAAAGAAAAAATGTTTCTTGAATCATGATGTATTTTATTAAAATCTGTCAAAAATTAAAAAGTCACATTTTAATATGTATATATTTCCAAGTACAAACAGTAGCTGTAACTAACTTAGAGTTGACTAAAATAAATTGATTTTCTTGACAGATTTCTTATCCTAGTGGACAAAATGTGAACTGCTAAAATTAAAGTGTTTAAAGGTCTTAAAATGGCTGCCTCCAGCACAGGAACTTAAAGGAGATACTAAGAACTTTGCTCATATGTTAACTTGCACAATAACTTTTTATATCTTGAAATAATAAAAATGTGTGCATAAACATGTATCTAAATTGGAAACTTTGGGTTCTATAGGAAGCAAATACACAGACAGGTATAGTGGTTTTGAAGTTGGGGCTGAAGATCAATGCCTGTGAAGATAAAAGGGAAAGGAAGCAAGATTGGGCAAATTCGAAAAAATTTTAACCAACCCAAAGGGGATCTCTGAGTCCCGCCATAGGCCATCCTAGGCTCAGTCATTGTCTGGGGCACACTGAGAAGAGGTCAGCCTTGGTACAAATGCTGCAGGTGGCCCCAAAGATGCTATGGCTGGAAGGTGTCAACCAACTGTACTCCTCACAGGTGAAAGGCAGGTGCTTTCTTGTCACACCAAATAACTTCTTAAAATTTACCTGATAAAGTTTATTTTGGAGATTTTATTCTATCTACCATGCACAAACTTTCAGAAAGGCAGTTGCACTACCGTCAGAAGACATGGAATACAAAATTGTTCCCAGAAACATCTATATCACTTGTGGAGTACGTTAGTTGCAGAAATCATCTATATAAATGAAATATTATAGTAAACTACCATATTATTTTAAAGATATTTTTAAGAAGAGTATTTTATTGCTATAAATTTATTCAATAAATTCAAATTTATAGTACATATTTATTATAAATTTTAATAATAAGAATAATAAAGGCTATTTTCATGAACACAGACATTCGGAATTGGAGGTTATGGATGACAGTTACAGTAATATTGCCACCTAGTCTGTTTGTGCTGCTACAACAAAATACCACAGACTGAGTAATTTACAAATAAAAGAAATTTATTTGTTACAACTCTGGAGACTGGAAGCTCAAGACTAAGGCATTGGCATTGGTCTGCTTAGGGCCTTCTTGCTACATCCTCACATGGCATAAGACAGAGGGCAAGGTAGCCAAAGGCTGTGTGAAGCTTCCTTTGAAAGAGCTTTAATCCCAGTAAGCCCTCATGGCCTAATTACCTTACAAAGGCCCAGCTTCTTAAAATCATCACATTGGCAACACCTGAATTTTGAAGGGACCACATTCAAACAATACCACCACCTTCACATCCAATGTATTTTGAGGTTTTTTTCTATTGCATAGAACCTAGGAAATCTTCTGATGATTAGTTGCAACTGGTAACCATTTTTGCTACTTAATAATCACAGGACGCATTCAACAAAGTAAGGATGGTAAGAGAAAAAGTTTGGTGCAAATAAAACAATATGTCAGTAATTTCAAATTGTTAATATTTGGTAAATACTTTTAAGAGTAATGTTGATTTTTTAATAACTGAAGTATATATAAAAATGAAGACTAGATTAAAACTATGCAGAAATTCTGAACCTCACAGTTCAAAAATTATTATTCCGTGCTATAATGGGGGATCCACAGCAATAACTTTTCTAACTCACTAGTGTTAAAAAGGCTTGAATACTCCTGAATAGCAATTTATATGCTGGAGGAAATTGATGAAATGAGTGGTTAATAAATTTCCCAGCTTCTGTTATGATGCACCAGATCTTTTTAAGTGATGTTCTTAATTTAGCAATGAAATAAAAAAATCAAAGAGAGAGAAAGTGAGAACATTATGTTTACATGTAAACAATTTGAAATTAATACCTTATTTTCAGACACCCATAATTAATTATTCTCTTAATTTTATGCAGTAAGTGGCAAAGAGATGGGATAAAATCTTGGTTTGATGCTTCTGTAAATTTATAGAATACTGTGTTACTGCTTTTTCCTCTTCTTTATGCTATTTTAAGTAAGGTCAGTTGTTGTTCTTTCTAATTATTATTTTACACATTTGGAGGATTCCTAGAGCATTTTTTTTCTCCCAATAAATCATCTCTGTTCACTAATAGGCAAAGGGTCATAAACTCTTCTATGACTATGGGAGATTTAAATCTCAACAACTGTTTCCTAACTGCAGACAACTTTATTAAGAAATGAATGGAAAAAGGAAAAAATATAAGACTGTAAATGTGTTACCTCAGTAACTAGTGGTTGCCTATTTCTTTGCTTTCAGCTTCATAGGGCAAATTGGTGCACCCTACAGAGATTTGCAGGTGGAGGAGCAGGTACTCTTTACACAATTATCTATGGAAACCAAATTTAGACAATAATGGGAGGACACAGCAGAAAGATGGATTTCTGTGAGCCCCAATTCATGCAATTCCAGTGCATTTGTGCACTCTCTCTGTCTCTGTTTCTTTCTCTGTCACACACACACATACACACACACACACACACTCTTACATATTGTCCCACCAAATTTGCCATTAAGGTTTTATGCTACTTACTTCCTGACCCTGTTTCAGAGCAGAGGTCCTTAACAGGTTTCAAGTGTGCTGAACTGTAAGTCTTCATAGCACCTAGGACCCTTGCTGGGAACCCAGGGCATACATGGCAAATGGTGTTTCTCCTCAACCCTCTCCTCTCAGTTCTGACCTGAGACTCAATCTTCCTCCATGTACCACAGCATAACTTACCAACGTTCCCATTTCCCATTATGTCATGTGTTAACTTGAGAAACTCTGTGAAACATTAGAGATCATTAGCTTAATTGTGAGACCTATTTGCTTCAGTGTTGAGTTACCCCTTTTACCTTAAATCTGTGCATGTCACATCAGTAAGAGGAAATTTAATACAGGTCAGGAGCAATTATATGCATATTTCTTTAGTGTTGATTATCACATAATTTACAAAATCAGATTCTAAAATTAGTCATTCATTAAATGCTTACTGAAGATTAACCTAAATGCTAGTTTTCAGGCATACAAAAATTAAATATTCAATTATTTTTATTATTTTTAAGATTTTTAATAAACAATGTATGGCATCATAACAGTTGTATTATTTTTTTTAATTTTTATTTTTCAACTTTTGTTTTAGATTCAGGGGATGCATGTGCAGGTTTGTCACCAGGGTATATTGCATGATGCTGAAGCTTGGGGGTGCAATGAACCCATCACCCAGGTACTGAGCATAGTACCCAACAAATAGATAGTTTTCCACCCCTCGGCCCCTCCCTTCCTTGCTCCTCTAGTAGTCTCCAGTGTCTATTGTTTCCATCTTTATGTCCATAAGTACCTGATGTTTAGTTCCCATTTATAAGCGAGAACATGTGGTATTGAGTTTCCTGTTCTTGCATTAATTAATTCATTTGGGATAAAAGTTTAAAGATAGAAGAATTGCAATCAAATTAGAATTAATGCATTTCTTTAGCAAAATTATATTTACTTGCCTATTTCTTTGTCTTTTTCTTTGAATATATATAGTTTTCATAACAATTCTTTTTTTTTTTTTTAATTGAGATAGGGTTTTGCTCTTTCATCCAGGCTGGAGTGCAGTGGTGTGATTATGGCTCACTGCAGCCCTGACCCTCCACATTCAAGCAATCCTTCCACTTCAGCCTCCTGAGCAGTTGGGACCACAGGTGCATGCCACTACAACTGGCTCGTTTGTTTTGCTTTGTTTGCCTGTTTGCTTTTTTTTTATAGAGACAGGGTCTCCCTATGTTGCCCAGGATGGTACTGCCTTGGCCTCCCAAAGTGCTGGGATTACTGGTATACACCACTGCACCAGGCCAAATTTTAACTACTGTATACATAGATATCTATATATTGCTTTTGCCAAGCAACATTACTAAGCATTTTCTGTGTTTCTTTATATTCTACCTAACTGGCCCTATTGATGGTTGCATAATTGTCCATCAAGTTGATATGCCATTTACAACCAAGTTGATATGCCATTTTGTTAACCATTGAATAAATATTCCTAAATCAATATATGTTTAGTTAGCTTCGATTATCCTAGTGTATAACACCAACATGAGTGTCTGGATATGTGTAAACAACAATGTATACATATCAAAATGCAAAAGCATAAATATGATTCTCAATAGCTTTTGTCAAAACATTTTCCAAGAGTTGTACTGAATGTCACCGCCACCAGTGATGTATGAGCATAACATTTTAACAGCACTTTCGTCATCAGTGACTCTTTGCTATTAACTCTTGAGTTATCTTTAGTTTTAAGAAGACTGGTGGTAAAAAGAAATCCAGTTCTTTTTTCAAGCCCCATGTTGAGTTTTATCAACAACCTTTCTCTCTGACCCTTTATCATAATGAGAGCAGCAAAAGCGGCTGGTATTCTGTGCCAAGCCTTTTATTTCCTCATGATAAAATTATTTTTTTTTTCCTTTTGACTTGTCTGAAAAGCCAGACTAATGTCACCTGGACCTTAGGGCTGCTCAACCGCAGCAGGAGGACACCAGGGAAGCCCAGGCAGCATGCACAGTGATGCCTGACTTTGCAATAGTAAGTTTCTTCTCCTCCAGGATTTGTCAATTTTGATTTTGCAGCTCAGTCAGCAATGCCATGTGCTGTTTGCCTCCTGTCTGAGTTACAAAATAAAGAGTCATTTTCTCTTCCAAGGTGACAAATTTAAAAAAATAAAAATAAAAACCTTTATCTTTCCATGTCTATTATATTTTCTACCTGGATGACATACACTTTTGAGCATATGAACCATAGAAACTCTGAGGAAAAGGAGATATTGTAGAAGCTGGGCATGTTACACCATCTGCTCCTACATGAACAGAACTCCCCTCAAATATTAACCATCATTATTATTATATGAAAATGGTGGGTAATAAGGAGATAAAATGTATAGAATAAGGACAAATTTCCTTAGGATTAATTATTAATATTGAAATCTGAAATTTTAGGAAATGTAAATAGTCTAAATAGTAAAATATGTTATGTCTTTGATCGCTAATAAAATGATAGAAGTTTTAATGCAGATTTATCAACCTTTTCTTCTGGGATTGCTTGCTCATATATTGCTTATGTTCTAAATTCTAAGACTCTGTTCCCCTTTGTTTTTGTTTTTATTATTGCTATTTTAACATGATTTTTAACTGTTAGCACACAAACCATACATATGCATTGTTGAAATATTCACAAATGCAGAAAAATAACAAAACAAGAAGAAGATCACCTATAATTCCACTGTTTAGAAATATGCATCATTAGACATATGGGTATTGTTTTAGTCCATTTTCACACTGCCAGTAAAGACATACCTGAGATTGGGTAATTGATACAGGGAAGAGGTTTAATGGATTCACAGTTCCACATGGCTGGGGAGGCCTCACAATCATGGTGGAAGGCAAGGAGGAGCAAATCATGTTTTACATGGATGGCAGCAGGCAAAGAGAGAGCTTGTGTGGGGAAACACCTCCCTCACTGATAAGTTGTGATCCTCTGTATCAGCTTCTGTGTCTCTAATTTTATGGGCAATTTTTTGCTCTGTGAAACCAGAAGAGACCAGGGGCATTGCAAAGATTGTAAATATTGAAGAAAATGATCTAGAAGAAGTATGTAGTCAATGCCTGGCAATATGTCAATTTCAGGAAGGGTGAGAAATTATTAAATAATTGTGGTCATTTATTATCTATATATTGAATATCTCTAATTACCTTAGGATAGCATCCCAGATGTAAAATTGGTAGGTACATCTAGAGTTACAGCCCAACAGGTTCTTCTTGCCCACTGCTCAGAAAATCCAAACACTGGGAACAACAGGAGTTTCAGTAAGAGAAAGAGTTCAAGAATTGTAGGGCCAACCGAGGTGGATGGTGGGAGATTTTTCACAAATCCACCTCCCCAAGAGCTCAGAGGTTAGGGTTTTTTAAGGAAAATTTGGAGGGCAGGGGGATGGGAAATGTGTGCTGATTGACTGGGGATGAAATCATCGAAGTGTCCAAACTGACTTTGCATACTGAGTCAGTTTCTGGGTTGGGGGGGTCACAGAACTGGTGAATCAGTTCCTTGGTATGAGTCATGGGTCCCGTCCGGGTTAAGTCAATCAGTTGCCAGAATGCAAAATTCTGGAATATATCTCAAAGCTCAATCTTAGGTTTTACAATAGCGATGTTCTCCACAGGAGCAATTAGAAAGTTAGAAATCTTGTGACCTCCAGCTACATGACTCCTGAAAAGTAAGAGATTATAGAAAAGCAAGCTAAGGAACAAGGGGTCGCTATTTAACTATACCTACATCTTAGCAGAACTCAGGCCCCTCTCGTAATCCTATCCTTGTGGCCTTTCATTAGTCTTACAAAGGTGGTTTTAGTCCCTGGAGGGAGTCAGTTTTGGGAGGAGTTGTTATCATCCCTGCTTCAACGTTAAACTATAAACTAAATTCTTCCCACAGTTAGATTGGTCTGTGCCCAAGGATGAGTAAAGGTAGTTAGCTTTTGAGGTCAGAAACAAGATGGAGTCGGGTTAGAGTTCTCTCATTGTTATAATTTTTACAAAGGTGGTTTCAACAGTCTTTTAGTCTGGTTATTATGGTAAAATATTATTGAACATTTCAAATTTATTTCTTCCAAAAAATATGAATTACATGTATCCAACTGCTGCTTGGAATATGCAAGTATTATTGTTGCCATGCTGTGTATGTTTGTAAAGTTGATCTTTTCCACTTTTCTTTCTGTTTATTACCTTCAAAACTTCTTCTTTTAATTTTAATATCTATTTTAAAAATGTCTTCATATTTCATAATGTAGTGATTGTGTAATGACTTAGCAAAATGGACCAGGTATCTCTGGTTTAGCCAAAAAATACAAGAGAATATAGCTTATCTAAAATTATGTTTTAAAGCAGAGAACTGGTTTTGATATTAAATATTGGTAAGAACCTTTCTTATTTTACTACTTAGCTTAGTCTGGTCACAAAAGAAAGACTTTCCAGTTTTTAAATATTTATCTTAAATAAATTGTTACCAATATTTGCTTTCTTTTTTTCAATTAGTATAGATTCCAAGTTATTAATGTAAATTTAAAGTACATGCTATAAATGAGTGATAAGAAATGCTCACTTCTGATGTGCAAAGGAGCCCTCAGTAAATCACCTTCAAGATTGAGGAAAGTCCTTGTTTCTTATTCAATAGGCTTAATGTAGAAAAGGAAACAAAGAATAAAGGAGGAAAGGGAGGGCAGAAGAGAGAGAGAGAGACAAAAGGAGGAAGGAGAACCAAGTGCCAACTCTTCACATAGCATACACACATTCCAAATCTGGACATAGCTTTCAAGAGATAATAAGAGGACTGAGAAATGGTAGAGCCTTCACAAGCATAATACTAGTTTCCAATATTTAACTAGTAAATTTTTGGGAAAGGAATTACTGCATAGACTTATTTTCTTCTATGTATGAGATCTAATAACTTCTACTCCTTTTATTCTCTCTTTCTGCGTCACTCTCTGGCTTCAGGCAAAGTGGGCTAATTTAACTTTGGTTCTGTGTGAGACTCCTTGTGAAATCATCTCTTATAGATTCCAGGAGCCTTGCCAAAACCTTTCAGTTGATCCTTTGGTATACAGAACCCCTCATTTGGTATACAGAACCCCTACATAAAAAATCTGCCCTCCAAAGAGACTGTTGCAAAAGTCAGACAGATCTTAATATATCTTTCCTCTTTAGAATCACAGAGTAGTAGAGCTGGGAGAGCTCTTTGAATTTATCAGAAAGATTAAGTGATTTACTCAAACTTCTGTGACTATTTAGTGCTCAACACGGGAATTCTGATTTCACTGCCCTTGTTCTTTGTGGGGTTTTAACCCCATCTACCATACTAACTTAACTCTTTTGCACAGAAGACTATTGCTCCTGTAATTTCGTATTGAAAAGTATCAGAAAAAAAGTACAAATGGCTGAAAATAGAAAATACGTTACTTTCCAGTGATATTTTCTATTTTAACCCTGGGTAATTTAGGACATCATAGTGGGCTGTTAGTCAAGTCAAAGGAGTTATTCTACTTAAATATAAGACTGATTATGCTTTTTAATATTGCTATTTCTAATTAGCCTCACCAGAAGGAGATTTCAATCAAAGAGAGAGACCCAAATCACTCGATTTTGTTTTATAGTAATGTTAATGAGGAAAAAATGGTGAATTTAAGGCTAAAATTAAGTGGAAGATTCTGTGAACTTCAACTATTCATCTTGTCCTGCTCACATTAATGTGATTAATTGAAAATTCCTTGTATTTTATTTCATATAATCATAAAATACTCATTTTTATGTGAATTATAGCTGTAACCTAAATGTCACCTGTTCTTACCAGGCTGTGGATGAAACTAGGTTCACCCTTAAATTTATTCCCCATCCCTAGTGGATCTGAGTTCACCAATATCCTCATTCAAGCTGTCACCCTGTCATTTCAGAAACTCCACAGAAACCTCTCTCAGCTACAGTCTCCTCGGGTGTCTTTCGCTACTCAAACTTTTGTTCACCCGTGTCCTCTCCCTGTGAAGCAGCTGAAAGGAACATCAGGAGTTTTCAGCTTCTGCCACTGAAAGAACACCAACGTCCATACCAAAGGCAATTACCTCCTTATGTCAGCAATGCCACCAGCCCCCAGATGACTACTGGATTCCATGTAACAGTAGAAAAAAAAATTCTCACTCCACACAACACTTTTCATCTTCACCCCGAAGCAGCTTAGTTTATACCAGTAGTCCCACAAATCTATCAAATTAATCAGCCTCACTCTGTAGTAGGTTACACAGTGATTCTGAAAATATGTTCAAGCCTTAATCCCTAGATCCTATGAATGTGATCCTACTTGGAAAGAGGTCTTTGCAGATATAATTAAATTAAGGATTTAAAAATGAGGTCACCCTAGATTTAGGGTGGGCCCTAAGTCCAACAACAGGTAACTTTATAAGAGAAAAGAAGAAGGAGAATTGAGACACAAAGATACAAGGAAAAAAGGCATGAAGACAGAGGCAGAGATTAAAGTTATGTTGCCATAAAACAAGGAATGCAAGGAGCCACCAGAAGCTAAAAGAAGCAAAGAGGCATTCTCCTCTAGAGCCTTGAGAGGGAGCATTGCCCTGCCAAAGCCTTATGTTAGACCCCTGGCCTCCAGAACTGTAATAGAATAAATCTGTGTTGTTGTTTTGCAGCAGCCCTAACAAAGTTACACACCACTTATAACAGAGTACAAGTCCAGATGAAAGAGCAGGCAAGGGAGCAGATGACATGCTGCCATTCAGTTGTTTATTTGTTAAATAAATATTTGTGGGGCATCTAATAAGTACTAGAGCCAAAGCATAAGGGAATCGTGTCTGCTTGAAAGAGTACACTCAGAAAGCAAAATCTATACTGTTCTTCAGTTTCAGAAGGAATGGTACCAGCTCCTCCTTGTACCTCTCTTTTAAATGTGGCTACAATCCAATATAAATCAAATGCCCTTTCTTTTCTGGTGCACAGCTTATAGAAATATGTTTATTTTTGCATCCCTGTATTTGCATACATACCACTCTTCTTGTTTCTTTGATAAAAGTTTTATGGGCAATAAATTATAAATCATGCTTATATGTAATTTAAGGTTGAAACATGCTTTATTCATGAATTTCTTAAAGTATTGAATTTGAATCTCTTAAAAATACAAAGCTAAAGACAGTTTTCATTTAAAAAGCCAAAAAATAAAATATGTAGAATTCGGCTGCTCTTCTGCCTTAAAAGTCATTTCAATAATGTAATGTCTATCTTCCTTGCAAGACTGAGCATTGCTCTTGTTAAAGGCAAAAAGTCATAGATTAAAAATCTAAACCTGCTTTATGGTTCTCTATCCTCCTTGACTATGAAATATACAGGATTCTTAAGCACGAGGTTCTTATGGAAATAAGTCAGGAAAGAACTAGGACTCAACAACAGTACAAGCAACAGAAAATGAGCATTTCTTTATGCCAATGGAAAACAAAAAAAGGCAGGGGTTGCAATCCTAGTCTCTGATAAAACAGACTTTAAACCTCTATCTCTCTCTACTTTCAGTTTCCTCTCCAGGTAATCTAGTTAGTGGCAGCGACATGTGCATTTACTAAGGCTTTAAAGAGCCTTTGTGTGAACTATGTAAACCAACAAAGATCAAAAGAGACAAAGAAGGCCATTACATAATGGTAAAGGGATCAATTCAACAAGAGGAGCTAACTATCCTAAATATTTATGCACCCAATACAGGAGCACCCAGATTCATAAAGCAAGTCCTCAGTGACCTACAAAGAGACTTAGACTCCCACACATTAATAATGGGAGACTTTAACACCCCACTGTCAACATTAGACAGATCAACGAGACAGAAAGTCAACAAGGATACCCAGGAATTGAACTCAGCTCTGCACCAAGCAGACCTAATAGACATCTACAGAACTCTCCACCCCAAATCAACAGAATATACATTTTTTTCAGCACCACACCACACCTATTCCAAAATTGACCACATAGTTGGAAGTAAAGCTCTCCTCAGCAAATGTAAAAGAACAGAAATTATAACAAACTATCTCTCAGACCACAGTGCAATCAAACTAGAACTCAGGAGTAAGAATCTCACTCAAAGCTGCTCAACTACATGGAAACTGAACAACCTGCTCCTGAATGACTACTGGGTACATAACGAAATGAAGGCAGAAATAAAGATGTTCTTTGAAACCAACGAGAACAAAGACACCACATACCAGAATCTCTGGGACGCATTCAAAGCAGTGTGTAGAGGGAAATTTATAGCACTAAATGCCTACAAGAGAAAGCAGGAAAGATCCAAAATTGACACCCTAACATCACAATTAAAAGAACTAGAAAAGCAAGAGCAAACACATTCAAAAGCTAGCAGAAGGCAAGAAATAACTAAAATCAGAGCAGAACTGAAGGAAATAGAGACACAAAAAACCCTTCAAAAAATCAATGAATCCAGGAGCTGGTTTTTTGAAAGGATCAACAAAATTGATAGACCGCTAGCAAGACTAATAAAGAAAAAGAGAGAGAAGAATCAAATAGACACAATAAAAAATGATAAAGGGGATATCACCACCGATCCCACAGAAATACAAACTACCATCAGAGAATACTACAAACACCTCTACGCAAATAAACTAGAAAATCTAGAAGAAATGGATACATTCCTCGACACATACACTCTCTCAAGACTAAACCAGGAAGAAGTTGAATCCCTGAATAGACCAATAACAGGCTCTGAAATTGTGGCAATAATCAATAGTTTACCAACCAAAAAGAGTCCAGGACCAGATGGATTCACAGCCGAATTCTACCAGAGGTACATGGAGGAACTGGTACCATTCCTTCTGAAACTATTCCAATCAATAGAAAAAGAGGGAATCCACATTGTCTTTCACACACGCGTTGTGTAGGTCTATTTCTGGGTCTAGCTTTCCCCTTCTTGTAAGAACACCAGTCATAGCAGATTAGGAACCAACCTAATGACCTCGTTTTTACTTCATTATCTCTGTAAAGACTATTTCCAGGTATGGTTACACTGTGAGACACTGAGTTTTATTAGCACCTCGACATATATTTTTGGAAGGACAAAATTCAATGTGTAACAGAAACAAAGGTATTTCAGTCAGAAGGTGAGATATTATTAAAAAAATCATTGTCACTATAGAGCATTCTTACAGTAATAAAGAGGAAGAATGCATGAAAGAGGATGAATGTTGAGGTTGCTAACCTTAGTCCATGTACAATAGGATTTTCCTCCCAGGTAATATCTTTTTTTTTTTCCTCTTATTCAAAGCTCTAGCCTCGAGGGAAATGCAACCTAATTACAAAACAAAAGCCTCATAAAGCAATGATTGCTAAGAAATAGGCCTATGGGAAATGGACTAAGAGAAAAGAGGATGTTATCTATGCTTTGCCAGTATCTGAGTCTCAATGAGCCAATCTAGATGAACTATGTTCCTTAGCTTTATTTTCCAAAAAATTAAATAAAATCGTGAGATTTTATGAGTATGAGAAGTCTATTCCTAGGTAGTTTATCAACAAGTTATTTGGTTCAGTATTCTAAATATATTCTAAAATAATAGCTACTTTAAGCAATCTAATAACATTAAACCAAGTCTAAAATGTGATTAGAGTTAAGGAAAACTAATCTCCCACATCATTTTCTTACTTAAAGGATTGAATAATATCAAGATTATCTTCTTGGAGGTAAAATGCATTTTGGATTCATGTCAGGTCACTTGCCATTGAATTCAACACAATAAAATGGCCATTTTCTGTTTGTATTAGTGTGTGTATGTGAACTAGGGGATATTACAATATTCAGGGAGTAGACACAAATGCACAACCATGTTAGGGAAGTGTCCAATTTATAGGGAGATAATGAAATGTATGTTTTATGAAGGGCAAGTGAATTTTCTGAAGGCTTATTCTTAAGGGAATCGTGTCTGCTTGAAAGAGTACACTCAGAAAGCAAAATCTATACTGTTCTTCAGCAGACACTATAAAAATGTAAATTAAGGTTGAAACATGCTTTATTCATGAATTTCTTAAAGTATTGAATTTGAATCTCTTAAAAATACAAAGCTAAAGACAGTTTTCATTTAAAAAGCCAAAAAATAAAATATGTATTTAAAGGGATAAATTATATATAAGCATGATTTATAATTTATTGCCCATAAAACTTTTATCAAAGAAACAAGAAGAGTGGTATGTATGCAAATACAGGGATGCAAAAATAAACATATTTCTATAAGCTGTGCACCAGAAAAGAAAGGGCATTTGATTTATATTGGTTTTCTCTTTTAAATGTGGCTACAATCCAAATAATTCTTTTTAAATAGTAAAGCTTAAGGTATTGCTAACACTTGAGATGTGCCTTTTTGTGCTTTGGTATTAAATCAAAATATTTTGGTTGAGTAGGGGTACCTTCTGTTCTTTTTCATATAATCTAGTTAGTGGCAGCGACATGTGCATTTACTAAGGCTTTAAAGACCATTTATTTTCTGTTGCTTGTACTGTTGTTGAGTCCTAGTTCTTTCCTGACTTATTTCCATAAGAACCTCGTGCTTAAGAATCCTGTATATTTCATAGTCAAGGAGGATAGAGAACCATAAAGCAGGTTTAGATTTTTAATCTATGACTTTTTGCCTTTAACAAGAGCCTTTGTGTGAACTATGTAAACCTCTATCTCTCTCTACTTTCAGTTTCCTCTCCAGGTTTATGATAATGATAAAATATAGCCTGTATCTGGGTCTGTTAAAGAAAATTATAACCATAGTTCGAAAGTTAATGGACTATAGCATTGGCTCAGATTCACTCAGGATTAGTTATTAGCTTCAAGAAATTGGTTACATTTATTACACCACCACACATCCATTTTGACAATATACAGTAAATAGAGAGGAGAAAATAAATAAAACCATTAACTATTTTTAAACTTACATTTCCTTCTATCATAACATGAATAAATTTTCAGTATTTCAAACACATTGTAAAGAGAATACAGTAGGCATTAAAAAAAATCTTTTTTAAAATTGTGCTTATCAAACTCTCTTCAAATGTATATTGCCCATGAAAAGTATATATTTCATACCAAATATGCATCAGCTGCTGCTAACTTTGTACATGAAGATAGATGGTACTTAAAAACGGTGAGAAAGAACTGCATAAATGCCAGAACAATAACAATAACAGCAAAAATTTATCTCCCATCTAGTAAGTGCTGAAAAGAAGAAGAAACCAATTTAAAGTCTTTCCTAATTATAGTGCTTGATCCTTAATTTATCTCTTTTTAAGGATTGACCCCAATAGTCCATACATCTTCCTGATATTGTTGTAAATATTCAGATAATACCTCAAATTAGGCTAATTTTATAATTTGATTACATTGACATTTAACTCTTACCTGGCCTCAGATATTGTATCTCCACTACTGTTAGTAATTCATTTAACTTTTTCATACTGTCTGAAATTTTACCTTAAATTTATTCGTAAACAGCCTATTTCACAATGCCATAACCCCTGGTCATCAGTTACATATTAGCAGGTCACTTGAATAGCTCCCCTGAAATAAATAATACTGGGGCAAGGAGGAATTTGATGGGGAAGAGGAAGGCAATTTAGTAGTTTGGGAGTTTATGGGGATGAGAGTAAGGATAAGGGCTGGAAAAAGCTGAACACAGCACGCAAACATGTACCAGGGTCGAAGAATGAGTGTACATGGTACTTGAAGATTCTGTGCAATGGTCTGAATGTTTGTGTCCCCTCAAAACCTATGTTAAAATCCTAAACCCCAGGGTGATGATATTGAGAGGTGGGGCCTTTAGGGGGGTGATTAGGTCATTAGGACAAGTCCTCATGAATGGAATTAGTGCCCCTATAAAATAGGCCCAAGCAAGCTCCTTCACCCCTTCCACCACATGAAGACATAGAGAGAAGGTGCCCTTCCATGAACCAGGAAGTAGACCCCCACCAGACATGAAATCTGCCAGGAGACTGATCTTTGACTTCCCAGTCTCCAGAGTGGGTGAAATAAATTTCTGTCGTTTACATGCCACCCAGTTTATAGCACTTCTTTATAGCACTCTGAACAGGCTAAGATGTTACGCGATAACAGTCCTAGAAAGTCAGAAATTAGCACAAAATAGAATTGGACAGTGCCAAACACCACATTTTGTCCAGCATCAACTTTCCATATGGTGTGTCTCTGAATTACTTTTAGAATCCTTTGATTACTACCAACTTGCATTTGTATAAAGCATGCTTTCAATTTTCCCAGATTGCTTCACAGTTTCATTCTGCCTTCTACATTGTCACATTTTGTTATTGATCAACTCACTGTGGTCCCTTACTTTTTTCACAAATCATAAAGAAGAATGATGACCCTTGATTAATACCAATGAGTAGCAAACATGCATTAAATATTTTATATCGTATATATACTCTATATTATATAAAGGAATTACTAGGGAGAATATTTGAACATATCCTTGTTGCCTAGCTTCAGTGACTAAATAATTGCTTTTTTTACTAAAGAAAACGTTACAGATAGAAAGGAAACAATGCTACCTAAGTACTGTAGTTTGAGAGCTCCTAGTAAGCATCTCCTCTCTATTGGGAAAATAATTATCCCCATTTATATTTTCACAGTGAGTAGCCATTTCTTTCTACTTAATATTGTTATCAGGATGTAATCTTTTTTTAGAGTATAATTATGTATAGTGTGATGATGATGATAATGATGACAATAAAGGCAATGATAATAACTGTCTACATTTGAGTACCCCTAAATTTTTAACAAATGTGTTTACCTATATTATTATGTTTCATCCTTACAACATCACTATGAAGTAGGCAGGAGAAATTTAATAACTCCTACTTAATAAGCCAAGCTTATGGCTGGGCGTGGTGGCTCATGGCCTATAATCTCAGCACTTTCAGAGCCCAAAGCAGGAGCATTGCTTGAAGCCAGGAGTTCTAGACAAGCTTAGGCAACAAAGGGAGACCCTATCTCTACAAACAATTAAAAAGAAAAAATAAAACAATAAAAATAAGCCGGCCATGCACGGTGGCTCACGCCTGTAATGCCAGCACTTTGGGAGGCCAAAGTGGGCGGATCACGAGGTCAGGAGTTTGAGACCAGCCTGACCAACATGGTGAAACCCTGTCTCTACTAAAAAAATACAAAAAAAAAATTAGCTGGACATGGTGGCACACACCTGTAATCCCAGCTACTCAGGAAGCTGAAGAAGTAGAATTGCTTGAACCCAGGAGGTAGAGGTTGCAGTGAGCCGAGATCGTGCCTCTGCACTCCAGCCTAGGCAACAGAGTAAGACTCCATCTCAAAAAAAAAACTAAAAGTAAAAAAAAAAAAAAAAAAATCCAAGCTCAGGGAGCTTAAAGTGATCTGTCCTAGGGAATAATATACATGTAAAGCAGAACCAAGCTTAGACCAATTATTTGCTCTTCTATGACAAGGACTTCATGACCTTAATTATGTGTACAGATCTCTTGTTTAAGGTAGAGAAAGAAGCAGTAGGAAAGTCCTCGTGTTTCCTTTTGCTAGTAAATGATAACAGGCAAAGGACACTTAGAGAGGAGATAAATGAAAGCTAAATTTTACCATCTTTTCCATTTTACTTAGGCAAGTATTTTGGCCTTTTACAAAAACCATATGAAGAAATGTTAGCCATTGCATTACAGTGTAGAGTTTTATTGAATCATTCTGCCCTAATGCTTTCCTGTGATTCTTCTCCCCAAATCCTAAGAAATCAGGAACTCCATCTCTACTTGGCTTTAGTAATGGGAAGTATCCTACCTCAAAAGAAGTCCATGCTACTTGTCTTTTCTCTAGACCTACCTTCTAGAGACAATTAAATAATTTTAAATCCTCTTAGACCTGTGTAGTCAGTTATCCTGTCTCCTCTAGGTCTTCTGTTTACAAGGCTGTAGTGTTGCAAGCATCTTATTTAAGCTTAACCAGCCAAATCACATCAAGGAAACTTGATGTAGCCTATCCCAGGGCCTCACCTCAGGGACCAGTCACAGCTATTTTCCCTGGCTTCTGTGCTGTGTCATCAGTCATATTTTTTCCAGGTAAGTTTTCAGTAACAAACACCACTAAATTTTAATGGCCTACAACTATAAAGGTTTATTTATTCTTCTCATTATAGTTCAGCTGGGCATCTGTAGCAAGTCTGCAGCTGTGTTCCATATGTCTTGACACCTGGGATCCAGGACGATATGCCATTTCCATCTTGTCCTCTTGGCAAAGGTAAAGATATAGTTCTGGAAACTCCCAGTAGCCCTTCAAGTTTCTTTCCAATATCTCATATGTGACAACCCCTCACATTCCATTGGCTGAAGCAAGTCACATGGCCAGGCCTAAAGAAAAGAACATTCTTCTCACAAGGAAGTACTGCAAATCGTTTGGCTCTCGCTGAAAGATTATATATCTCTGCTGATGGCCATGGGACTGCAAGGCCTTCCTGTGAAAGGTGTACCTTAAATGTCAGAGATGATTTTTCTGATAATTTGGAATAACGTGTAATCTACCACATTTAGACATCGTCAGAAAAATCATTTCTGACATTGAAGGTATGTTATTGATAATTCCTGGCTTCCCTGCAGCAACTTACCTATTTTTGCTTTAATTATATGTTCCCTCTGGGTAGTCTAGTCTCAACTGATAAACAGCTGTAACTAAAATACACTTCCTGAGCAAAGTTGTCATTTGATGGGGGTATTACTCTGTTCTCACTCTGCTATACAAAAATACCTGAGACTGGTTAATTTCTAAAGAGGCTGAATTGACTCACAGTCTGCATGGCTGGGGAGGCCTCAGGAAACTTACAATCGTAGTGGAAGGCACCTCTTCACAGGGTGGCAGGAGAGAGAATGAGTGCAAGAAGGGGAAATGCCAGATGCTTATAAAACCATCAGATCTCATGAGACTCACTCATTATCCCAAGAACAGAATGAGGGAAACTGCCCCCATGATCTGGTCCACCTGGTCCTGCCCTTGACACATGGGCATTATTACAATTCAAGGTGTGATTTGGGTGGGGACACAGAGCCAAACCATATCAACAGGCATGGATTTTAAATACACACTGTTTTCTCCTGGCATCACCTTCTACTTGGGCCCAAGTGAGTCACTGGCTATGTCCTACTCAGGCCTTACCATTGATCCTTGCTATCTTCTCCCATGCATAACTATTAAAAATGTGTTTTAATACCTATTTCACTGAGGTGTTTCATATAGCATCTTTGTTTCATCATCCTAATAAACACATTTAGTGTTTCAGTCAGATTCTCCAGAGAAACAGGACCAATAGGATATATGTAGAGAGATATATGAGATGCGATTTATTAGAGGAATTGGCTCACTCACTTGAGGAAGCTGAAAAGTCCCACCATGGGCTGTCTGCAAGCTGGAAAACCAGGGAAGCCAGTAGCATGACTCCCTCAGTCTAAGCTTAAATGCCTTAGAACCAAGGAAGCCTATGGTGTAACTGTCTGAGACTGAAGACCTGAGGGGCTGGGGTACAGCTGGGGCAAGATCTGGAGTCTAAGGACTAAATTGCCTGTTCTGACATCCAAGGGTGGGAGAAGAAGGGTGCTTTGGCTCTGGAAGAGAGGGCTCTAATTTGCCCTTTCTCTATCCTTCTCTTCTGCCTGGGCACTGCCCCTCATCACTACCACTCCCACTCAATTGGATGGTGCCTGCCCATATAAGGGTGGCTCTTCCCCATTCAATCTGCTGACTCACATACCAATCTCCTACAGAAACACCTCACAGACACACCTGGGGCAGCCCAATTATTCTAATCAAATGTCAAACAACCTGGGTTTCTCTTTTAGCAGAAAAGGGATGGGCTCAGTGCCTACTGAAGCACGGAGAATAAGTGACGCTTTACCAGCTATCTGCATGACCCTTAAATCAGTTAAGTTGACACCCAAAATTAACCATCGCAGTCTGCCATTTCCTTAAAATGTGATTTGCAAAGCTGAATCCAAAGTAGAATAGACTGAATTTAATTTTGTTCCGTATGTTATGTTTCCTGGAATGCACCTCAAATTCATTAGTAGAGTTCACAGTATAATCTAGCCTTGTTCTCTACACTATGTCTCCATCAGTGCATCCTAAATTCATTTGTGTTAGTTATGGATCATATTAATTTGTGTCAATCTTAGAGATATGCAGGTCCTCCAAAATATTTTTACATCAACTGACATACATTTATTCATTGATTTTAATTTTATTTTATCTGGAGGTTCTGTTTGTTTTGTCATTGAATTGTTTAAAAGTTTAGAAGTAGAACTTCATATTATCCATTAATTTCTTTTTTGTTTGATTCAGGCCATTCTTCCAACTGAGCAAGAGCTCTAGAATCAAAAAAAAATTTTGCATCCAATGTATTACCTACCAATCTAGATTTGTGTCACTCACAAATAAAATGATCACGACTTCTCCGTGTGCAGAAAAGCCATTGATAAAACTGTTGGATGAGACATTTTTAAAGGAACAGAGCTCTGAAACATACTGTTCGAAACCTTATCATCATAGACAATGATCCATTAATCAGCAATCACCTGTCCCTCAATTCACTGTACTTTACTAGCATCCAGTGTGTTCTTGTATCTTATCATGACAGGGCTGTGAGGGCTGTCAAGCTGTAACCATCCTATCTGTTGCCTCAATCAGTTCTGTTTCTCTAGTAGACACTACAGATATTCCCTCTTCCCAGTCTGCTCTCTGTGTGTTCCTTCCAAAGCTGTGTGTACACTCAGTGGAGGAGGACAATCATTCAAAAGCTTATGAATTACTATGTTAAATGCATGGCTCACATTCATATTTATTATGTATAACTTGCCTTAAACTACCAATCAGAAATGAAAATGAGATTAGTCTATAATAAATTCATGAACTATTTCTTTAATAATGATTGAATAGCCCTTTGATTTTTACCCTCCTGCTGATTACAAATTTGAATATTACTATTAACATTTCCCAATCCTTGTCAAGTTTGAGGTATTTTTTGTTTTAATTTCACAGTTTTACTTATTAGCTGAAAAA
Source organism: Homo sapiens (assembly GCF_000001405.40). Classification (NCBI taxonomy): domain Eukaryota; kingdom Metazoa; phylum Chordata; class Mammalia; order Primates; family Hominidae; genus Homo; species Homo sapiens. The sequence goes on along the minus strand of NC_000003.12, from coordinate 82,144,597 downwards.
TTTTTAACTGCCTGATTGGAAGCCAAACCACCATGTGACATTTCCTTCACCAAACTGGTAATTATTTTTTTCAACTTACTAGAATTATTTGTAATGAAAGGCAAATTGTTTCATCTACCTTTTCTCCAAAGTATTAGTTACTTCTGTCCTAGTTTTAAAATTCTTACGTTTATCCTGTTAAAATATGTGCTATACATCTAGAATCCCAGAAAATATACCCAGAATCCAAGACAGGGCATTGGCATCTGGACCCAAGTTTACTGAGATTCAAGGTAAGCATGATCAGCTGAGTAACTCAGAACAGAACAATTGGAGGGAAGGCAAGTTGTGAGGTCATACTGGTGAAAGACTGGACAGCCAGCCAAGAGGAAGGCAAGCAAACAAACCTGCTGAAAAGACTGAAACAAAAGAGATTACCAGGACAAGTGGAAGCAAGTTTTTAATCACATAGCCACAGACCTATATGACTGAACTATCCACTCAGAAACCTAAGAAGTTTCTGAGGTTTTTTTTGGCTGTGCTTCCTATTGAAGACAGGTTATTCTCATTCATTCAAGAAAGTCTGATATGTTTACAGGAAAATAAAGCCTGCTGTCTTGGAATAAACGCAAAACATACCTAATTACTCCTTGTTTCAGAGGAATTGAGCTAGATAGGATTGGAATAGTTCTTATTCTCTCTCTTTTTCTCTCTCACATAATTTCTGTTCTTAGGACTTCTGTGATGACTATGGCCTCCCTATTGACTCAGGCCCTGAAACATCAAGTGTTGCGTCGTTGCATGATAAATAACTTTCTTTTACCTAACTACAAAAGAAAATCTCTTCTTGTACAGATGTAAGGGTTATATTTTGACTTGTTGGCCAAGTACACACACACACATACATAAATACATAGACATAGATACTCTTTATACATAACACTGAATTTCTATTAAATGGATATGCATATTAATGTAATTCAACTTTATAGTGAAGATGGGGAAATGGATGCCCAGAGCATTTACAATGTACTTAGCATCTCAGAATACACCTTTGTAATGTCTATTGCATCTTAGTGAAAGGCTTTCTCAGAAGAGCAAAAGCTTCTAAAACCATTAGACTTAAAATATTGTCCATGTTTGTATTTCCCTGATGGAAATATGCAACATTTCCTAAGAACCATTTAACAATGTTTCAAAACACTTAAAAAATTGGGTGTATTATGACACGTGTATCTAATTGTTTGGCAAATGTTTGAGCAAACCTCACTGAAAGAGGTAAGAAAAAAAGGTGCTGACCTAAGTAACAAATACAGTCTCGGTTTGCAAATATCTTATTAAAAAATGCAAAGGAGTTTAAAGGTAATCCTGTAACACTACTAGTGCAAGAAGAATTCTGAAAGGGAGCTAGGAGTAACCTCAGAAATACTGGAAGGAATTTGCGGGGGAAGCTAGAACTTAGGGCTAGGGAGGCTAGTGACTAATTCAATCAATTAGTAGCATATCTAGGATGGTGCCAACTTCTCATATGTTCCATACTTTCAATTATGCTAATAGCAAACATACATAATATACACAGAGTGTGCTATTAAGATGTAAAGAGTGAATGGTGTCTGCAGCTAACATTCACTGAGCTCTTACTGAGTCAGGCACAGTGCTAAGTACATTAAAAGCATTAACCCATTAATTCACACATACACACACACACACACACACACACACACACACATACACACACAAACAAAAAAACAAAACCTAAAGGGAATAGGTTTCAAAAAACTTGAAAAATTGAAGACAGGTTATTCTCATTCATTCAAGAAAGTTTGATATCTTTACAGGAAAGCATACTGCCCTGGACTAAATGCAAACATATCTAATTACTCCTGGTTTCAGCGGACTTGAGCTAGATAGGGTTGGAATAATTCTCATTCTCTCTCCTCTTTTTATTAATGAGGATACAAATTTTATCACCCTCATTTTATCAATGAGGAAACAAATTTCACCAAGTTCAAAGAGGAGTAAACAGAAGAACTGAGATTTGGATCCAAGTGCATCTCACTCCAGAGCTCAAGTTTTTTACCACTATGCAATAAATAATTTCCTGTTAATCATGATTAATCTCCTAGTAATCATAAATGAGTAGTTATACATTTTAGCTCTATGGTACTGTAATCTTAAAAATCATTACACAAAACACTTTAAAAAGAAAACAAAGAGTACTTACCTAGACTCCAAGAATAATTTTTCTCACTAAAACTCATACTTTATATATGATTGTACTGCAATCTAAGATTTGATTGGAAGATCTTGTTTTATTTTTATTTATTTATTTTTGAGAAGGAGTTTTGCTCTTGTTGCCCAGGCTGGAGTGCAATGGCACTATCTTGGCTCACTGCAACCTCCACCTCCCTGGGTTCAAGAGATTCTCCTGCCTCAGCCTCCTGAGTAGCTGGGATTACAGGCGCCCGCCACCATGCCTGGCTAATTTTTGTATTTTCGGTAGAGACAGGGTTTCACCATGTTGGCCAGGCTGATCTGGAACTCCTGATCTCACGTGATCCGCCCACCTCGGCCTCCCAAATTGTTGGGATTACAGGCGTGAGCCACCACGCCTGGCCTGATGTTGTTTTATTTTAAATTATGTGATTGATAACTCTATTGCTCATAAAATACCGAAAGGATTCATTCATAATTATAACCAAATCCATATACTCTCTAAGGAGAGGTATATAGGCATTTTAAAGCCACATTTGTTTGTTTTTTTCTTCTTCTTCCTGTAATTTCAGCCTGAATGTTTGCCACTTTACTGGCTTGTGTCCAGAATTGATTGACAGGTATGGTAATGCAGCACAAATGATATGCAAATTGAGGCATTGAATTAACAGCTATGTAAATATAATGTTTTTACTCAATTCAGTTCTAAGTCAGCACAGTCTTTTTTATTTATGAGAAATAAGCTGCACACATTCCCCCAAACAGAGAAATGCATGTTTTAGCATTATTGCTCACACCAATGTTCAGATGAAAGACACTGCCTGCCTGCCTTTCTATTTCTTTAAGTCCTTAACTTATGGGTCAAATTAAGTCTCACCTAATTCAAAAAGCTTTTCAAGAACCCCACTAGTCCATCTAATTGGCACTTAACATGAATTATCTTATCTCTTAAGTGTTCATGATGATGATGATGATAGTGATGATGATTTTAACTATAAATTAACTTTGTGAAGTAATTACTGATTACTTATGAGAGTAATGTCTCAAATTTCTTTAAGAGACTTAAGAGCATCTGCTATTACTACTTGCTATCCTTCCTTTACCAACATTGTTATTCATACCAATTTCCCCTAATCCCCATCTTTCCATCTTTCCACTGATACTGCAAGTGGGTAAAATCAGTGGAGATAATATTAAAATAAATTTAGAAATAACTGGCTATTCTTCTCAACCCTTCTACTTTCATCATTGTAATTAGCTGATATTTTCTAACCAAACTTAAGGAGGAGAATTCTAATGATTTTGATCATTTTAATTACACTTAGTTTTCACACTAAGAATGGTAATTTTAGTAATAATCTTCATTTATTTTGCAATATATTATTTACATTTTTATATATTATTTATATTTTTTGATGAATTGAAAATTCTCCCTAACCCAAAATTTTCAATCACTCATTTTGTTGTTTGTTTTTTAATTTTTGATACTATAAAAGGTAATACGATTTTTTTTCCTAGGCTAAAAAGCACATAACATGTTAGAAAGAATTCTGAAATAGAGGTAATATTTTAAAATGGTGTTTAAAGTGATAAAATTCAGAATTTGAAAACATACTAAGGTATAATTACTTAGTTCCTCATGACATGAGGTCAGTGAGATATTACCATACATATTAGGATACATGCTTACTATTCTATGCAAATGTATGACTTCAAGGCAACATAATTTCCCACACCTTTAAAAATCCTTTCTAGTTAGTTTCATTCCTTAAAAAGTGCATTTTTTATAATTACAGAATGATATTTAACACAAAGTAAATTAGATTTATTTTATCCATATGCCACAAAAGGTCAAATTCCATCTGTTCATGTTCTCTGCTTTCTAAAATGAATAGTGTTTAGTTACTGAAAGATATACAGATGTTGACAGCCTCTGGGAAACCTAACCTTTTGTCTCTCAATAATTTTTAGATGACTATTCAGTGGATATCAGCATAGATGTGGGAAAGCATGAGTTCAATTTATGGTCAGTATTGGCACCTTAGTAGTGGATGTAATAAATGGAATACTAATGTTTTATTCATTATGATGTGCTCCTTGTTTTAATGAACAGAAGTAAGTGTGCAAGTAAAAACCATGTTCCATAAAACGCTACTTCCAATAATGTAGTTCATTATGAGCTCACAAGTCATACTAGGTTAGAAATTTGCATGATGAATTCATACTTCATATATATCTATTTATTTATTTGGAACAGTAGCATTTTAACAAAGGCCATAAGTACAATGGGGGAAAAAAATTAAGTGGCCCATGAAGCTTTTACCTAGGTAAATAGACAACAATTATTTACATGTTTAGAATGATGTCCCTGAATTCCATTTCACCTTGCTAGTGAAACCTGGCACATATTGGTACTCTGAGAAAATTATCAGAAGTTAATTTTACATTCTGTGTCACTTAATCATAAATTTCCATCAGTCTGGAAAATATGTACACAAAAGTAGATGTGGAACACCATTATAACTGCAATACACTAATAACCATAAACCTATGGTTAATTCTGTCTTCATTTATATATTGTCATATGTATCACCTCATTACCAATCAAGTTTATACAGTAATATCTGGTGATCTTATATGCTATGCTGATATGGACAGGAGGTAGGGAAATAATGGGTAGAAGAGGGCAGTCCCCAATGAGGGCCACACGCTCAAGCCTGGACCTGTGGCCCAAAGTGAGAACGTGCATTGCTGTTTTCCCACCTGAATGTTGCCTTTTCCAAAACCATCCTGGCCTGCCCCACCTTGTACCCATAAAAGCCCCAGAGTGGCAAGCAGCAGAGAAGGAGAGAAGAGAAGGAACAGCCGGACATCAGAGAGAAGCAGCTTGACTTCAGAGGAATGGCTTGACCTCGGGGAAGAGTTCAGCCAGGGACGGTCTAACTCCATGGGAAGACCACCTTCCCACTCCATCCCCTTTCCAGCTCCCCATCTGCTGACAGCCACTTCCACTGCTCAATAAAATCCTCCACATTCACCACCCTTCGATTCGTTCGGGTGACCTGATTCTTCCTGGATGCCAGATGCAGTTGCAAGAGGCTATCACACTGACCCTCCACTGAGCTGTTTAACATTTAAGCCATGTACAGATGGCAAAGCTAAAAGGGCACACTTAACACACGCCCTCTGGGGCTCCAGGGGTCATGGCAACCCCTAGACGCTGCCACGGGCCCACAAAAAGTTCTGCTCTTGCCAGTTGCCCTGAAGCTCTCATCCTGGCCTCTGCACCCACTCACCTATGTGCTCCCCTCCCTCAAGGGGTTGAAAGCTGTGAGCTGAGTAAATGAGCCAACCTTTTGCAAGTCCCTGAAGGGGTCAAGGGAACTATATCCCATTTCAATATGAGGCAAGTTATCCAATCATTGCATACTAATTGCAAAGAGATCTCTCATATGAATTTCTTCTGATTATCAATCTTTCAAAATATATTGAGATTTAAGGGATAATCACATCAAAAGAAACGACAAGTCATAGTCCTGCCTCAAAAAAATTTCTTTACTAGAGGAGAAACAGAAAAATGCAATTAAATGCATGTTAACGTCTTTATATAAAAATCACACACAATCAAATGACATTTATTCACATCACAGCTAAAGCTGGGGTGATTCAGATAATGGGACCCAAATGAGGTTAGTGATCAAGTTTTATTAGTGGTGATTCTTCAATAAGTTTGCTTGTAGAAGTTAAACACACGATGTTTACTGACTCAGAATTCCCACGCAGCAAATCTGATTATATTTATTAAGCATTATCTATGAAACAAAACTTTTTTATGCACTAGGTTAAAAAAATAGTAAGAAAATTTGTTTGTATTTTTAAAGGAAAACAAACATTTTTTTTTGTGATCTGTAAGGGAAAGAAAAGTATTTACATGTTAAGGAAGTAAATTAAATGGGATGTTATTGCCGTGAAGAATTGCTGGACAGTTCAAGTCAATTGAGATTAATAGTAATATTTGTATTTGTATAATTATTTACATATAACAATTATCTTTCTTAGAGTTGTCCTTAAATAGTTTTGGGGGTTAAATTTTTACTATCTCCATTTTATTGATCATGAAAGTGAGACTCAGAATATTCAAAGGATACTGGAAAATGGAAGAGTCTGAATTCAGGTTTCCTGAATCCTGATTTTGCTCTATTTCTGCATATATGCCCTGGCCGTGAGAAGAGCCTGGAAATACATCTAATTTGATCCAGCAATTAAATGAACTCTTAAAAACCAGAGGGCCCAATGGAAATCTATTAGTGCATATAATTAGTCAAGCAGCCAAATAGCTTTCTTCTCCCTTGGGGATCCCTCATGCTGTCTGATTGTTTCAAATTCTGCTGATATGTCATTGTATGCCATTTTATATGGTCCTTTTGTTTCTTCGTTTTTTGTTAGATGATTGAAACTCACTGACAAAATTAGACATAACCAAGTGGGTCATACTGTGAGTTTTTACCTTAAAAAGTATCCCTTTTCTGTTAATGGAAAAAACAAAGCCCTGGTTTTCAAAATATTTTCTTGCTGCAATGGAAATGCAAAGTTGATTTAGTATGCCCATGAGTTTCTATGTGACATCCTGATACTCTGATGAGAAAAAAAAAAATCTAAAACTATTCATCACTACAGCAGTAGTGTGGAATTCTTTTCCTACCACCATCCATTGTCAAAGGAGTTAACTGACCTAAGCTCACCATGTCTAAGTGCATTTTATTTTGGCATCAGCCAAAACACTGGCATATTCTCCTTGAAAAAGACTATGCATTGTATCTGGGAGGAATCAGGAAACAGTAATGAGTTATTGCTGGTTATCTCTTTTTTTTTTTTAATTTAGTCCCATGTTAAAAGAGAACTTTAACTGCTATTTATGAGCTTCATGCCCTAGATTACAAGACTTTGGCAGAAGGTGGAATTATAACATCAAAGTCTACCGAACCTATTCTGGTTTATTTTCATGTGTTTATTTGTAATTCATACCTCATTACAAAATAAGCAATTCAGGACAAATGCTGCAGAAGTGAACATAACAGGTGTTCACTGGATTGTACCAGGCAAACCAGAAGGTATGTTTCATTCTGACCACGTACCACACTATCACAGCACCCTTGGTAAGCGGCAATACCTCAGAAAAACATAGTTGCATAGTGTGCCTAAGGAGACTGGGTGCTAGGGTTCCTATCTTGTCATATAATCCTGGGAACAATACTGGGCCTATTATTTGTTTAATAATAGGTTAGGAAGCCTAACTCATTTAATAATGAGTTAGGGAGCCTATTTACTTATTTAATGTATTTATTTGTAGCAGCTTAAAGAAAAACATATTTTATAAATTAGTAGAAAACTATAAAATTTAAATGATGACACCAGGTGCAGTGGCTCACACGATCCCAGTACTTTGGGAGGCCAAGAAGGGAGGATGTCTTGAAGCCAGGAGTTTAAGACCAGCCTGGACAACATGATGAGACTCCATCTCTACACAAAATTTGTAAAAATTAGCCAGTGCAGTGGCACACACCTGTAATCCCGGAGACTCAGGAGGCTGAGGCGGAAGGATCCCTTGAGCCCAGGGTTCCAGGCTGCAATGAGCTATGATTGTGCCACTATACTCCAGGCTGGGTGACAGAGCCATCTCATTAAAAAAAATAAAATAAACCTACAAATCAATTTTTTCCACCATAATATAAAATTCCCTGGATGAGATAAGAAAAATAAGTGGGTTTTTTCTCGCTGAAACTCTCTATAAACTTTGGTTGGTGACTACTGAGAATATTTCTGCATAGACAAGTTCTTAATTCAGCTGTATTGCTGTAGGTGTGAATTTCAAAAAAAAAAAAAAACAAAAACAGAATCTTGGCCAATTTGAATAGTCACATATTGGTCTAGTTTTCTCTAACAGAAATCTATCATACCTTATGCATTGCTTAAATTAAGAAAGACGACTTTTCAACATGCACATGCATTTTATTTACTCACTCATACTCTATCTGCCTTGTTCCATAAAATATGTGAGACAACCACATGCACACATGTAATTTTCATAAAATTTAGTGTATCATCAGGTTTGTGAAGCAGATTAGACAGCACTAAAAACCTGCCTATTTAATTTCTTCTTCTTTTGTTGTCAATAGAGACAGGGTCTCTCTATGTTGACCAGGTTGGCCTTGAACTCCTGGCCTCAAGCAATCTTCCTGCCTCAGCCTCCCAAAGTGCTAGGATTATAGCCATGAGCCACCACACCCAACCCTATTACTTTAATTTCTTATGCAAGTACACTAAGAGAGATGATAGTTGCTTATTCAGAATTGGGACTTGAGAACAGAAAGTAAAGTCTAGAATCTAGCCCATATTGTCAATATCTTCATTCCATTATTGACTAAACAGTGTATGTTAATCTTAACACAAACTATAAAATATATTCAGTTTTATCAGTTCCCTGACACCATATCCAAATAATTTTAATGTAATTAGGAAAAAACTGAATTATTGAGCCAGTATGAACACATAGCCATTTAGATTAATTCTTGTTCTACTAAAAAAATGAGATAGAAATGTCCACACCAGTTTCATTTCCTTTAGCCTTGTAAGAGAACCAGTATTTTTATAGAATGGGATATTTATGGGGTTGAATTGTATCCCTCTAAAAAAGATATGTTGGTAAATTCCAGCACCTTAGAATGTGACCTTAATTGGAAATACCATCATTGCAGATGTAATTAGTTAAGATGATGTCCCACTGTAGTAGGGTTAACCCTTTAATCAATATAAAGTATCCCTATAAAAGGAAACAGAGACAGAGAGAGTGTGACCATGTGGAGATAGGAAGAGACTGGAGTTATGGGGCCACAAGCCAAGGAAAATCTAGGCTACCAGAAGATAGAAGACGCAAGGAAGCATTCTTCCACAGAAGTTCCAAAGTGAGCATGGCTCTGCCTACACCTTGATTTCTGACTTTTAGCACCCAGAATTGTGGAAGAATGGATTTCTGTTGTTTTAAGCAACCCAGTTTGTAGTAATTTGTTACAGCAGCCCTCAAAAACTAAGATGAGAATGAAGAATTTTCAAAATAAAAAATATTTATAAGTAACAAAAATACATATTAAATTTTAATTTTAAATGTCCATTTTTATACATCTTTTATTTTTATTGGAAGTTTATAATTTCAAAAGCCTTTTGTTGTAGATATTTCAAGACGGTGATAGCAGAATTACGTCTTCAGAGAGTAAAATTGATTAGTATATTCAACTGAATTTATCTCATGCTTTTATAGATTGTATAAAAGCATTTATAGATTTATAAATTTATTTATGTATTTATAGATAGATTGTATCTCATGCTTTTATAGATAGATTTCCCTTCATGAATTCACTCAATTTTCAACATTTCTCCCATCCATATCAGAGATTATTCCCTTATGTTCAGTTGTGTTGATTAACTTCTATTTTTAAAATATTCTTTGCTTTCTTACTGATTATATAAGACAATTTTAAGAAGTTTTGCCCTTGAGAAACTTTTTTCTAAAATTGCATATGCCTTAATTTGTGGATATTTATGTTTATTTATGTATGAATACTGAACAGAAATATGTATTTGTATGTAAATGGTCAATCATATCTATTTGACTTTAAATTTGACCAAAGTTTATTATTGAAATTTAAAATGAAATTGTATGACATATATGTCTCTCTTTGTATTTATCTTTGAAGTAAACTTTGAATTAAAATTTACACAGTATTTGGCCAAGATGGAAAGGAGCTCCATTCTGTGATTATTTCTTTCATTTAATTAAGTGGGCATGAAGCCTTTAGGAAAAAAAAAAAATGCATGTGCATCCAGAACCCTGGCTCTCATTAGAGAAACTAACAGCAGAGCTCTTGAAATGCACCTGAGCCACATGTGTCGCCTTGGACAGCAAACTCTTTTTTTAAAATAATTACAGAATTAATTCCTAACCAAACAATAGATATCTGGCCATCATGAACAAACATTTCAAGGAATTACAGTAATGAAGAAATTATCCAGTATTTGGTCTTGTGTGTGGCTAGTATCTCATCTTGATATTATATGGGAAGGTGGTAGCTGATACATGCAGGAAAATTTAAAAAAACAAATCAACACTGACACCCACATTTTTGACTTATTGCTCTAAAAGTTATTCCAAATTTAGGTAATTTTTTGTCAATCTTTTCAGAGCAGTGACAGAAGATTGAAGTCTGCAGCCTTTTTTGGGGACTTTACATATTCTTTGCTGAGAACATATTGCTTGTGTGGTAGACAGAATGATAGCCCCCTCAAAGACATTCACAGCCTCATCACAGGAACATGTGACTGTGTTATCTTACAGGGCATTTTCACAGATGTGATTAATAAGGACCATGGCATGACGAGATTGTCCTGGATTACTCAGGTGTGTCCTTAAAATGAGTCCTTAAAATTAGATTATCTTTTTAAGGTGTGGTCAGAAAGAGGGAGATGTAACTATGAAAGAATGGCCAGAGAGATGCAACCTTGCTAGCTTTGAAGCTGGAGGAAGGGAACCATGAGCCAAGAAATGCAAGAAGTCTCTAGAAGCTGGAAAAGGCAAGAGAATTATTTTTCTCCTAGAGTCTCTGGGAAGTAACACAGCCCCATTGACACCTTGATTTTAGCCCATGTCAGATCTTCCAACCTATAAAACTGTAAAAGAATACATCTATGTTTTAAGCCACTAAATTTGTGGTAATTTGTTACAACAGTTATAGTAAACCAACGTACCTTTGTGTTATACTTTATTTTTAAATACCTTTTTATTCTTTAGATAGTCTACATAAATTTTAATCACTTACTATCTATTTTGCTGAAGTTAGGGTCGTAGTGACTAGTGTGTACTTGATGAAAATATTATTTTGAGTTCATCCTCCAAAACCTAGTAGGATATAAAAATATTTGGCTATAAAATAGAACAATTGTAAATTATGCACGTAACACTTAATTATGGTGGCAAACACTGCTGGCTCCCAATCGCTTAAAAGCTGAGTTTTAGCCCTTTGAAAAACTCCATTTTAGTGAAGCTGCAAAATATTTTTTTTTTTACTGGGATAATTTCTAAGAAATAAGATACAGTGGCACTGACTGCATTCTGAATTGCTCCTTGGTAACATGGGACTCTATTACACTAAGTGTCCAGCAGGGGCCGCAGTGTGGAACTTTTCCCACCATCCAAACCAGATGAAGTTGGCTGAACCTAAACCTGCTCACGTGTGAGTACATTTCATTTTATCATGGGCAAGCACTTAACATACTGTAGTTCAAAGAGAAATAAAAATTATGTTGTGTATGAGAGGGGTCAGAAAAATAGAATTGGGTGTTGTAAGGTCATCTTTTTTATTTCCCCATATGTTAAGAGAAAATCCTGATCTCAGCATATATTTTACATACTAGTAGGCAAAATCATGGCAGAAGCTGGAAGTAGACAGTGGAGTTCCACCAAACCCATCCTGATTCATTTTAATGCAACCATTAATTGTATTACTTGTATTCCATCCATTATTACAAAAGTGTATATTTCAGGTTCAAATGCTAAACAGAACAGGACACTAGCACAAGATTGTCCTAACCAAACCTGGATTTGTGGTTTGCTCTGACCATGAGCCACTCTACTGCAGAGCCATTTTCAAATGGGAATCCTCAGAAAGGAATAGCTGCATGCTGTGCCCAGGAAGGCTGTGTGCTTCCTACAGTAGAGTGCTGGTAAATGTTTAACAACCAGCTCTCAGGGTAGAGGAGTGAGGTTGGGAAATACGACTTGTAGCATTTGTTAATTTCTGGGTGTAAATATTTCTACCATGAACAATTTCAAGCTACCAAATTAAAGTCACTGAATGTGGAATTGGAAAGAGATGCTCACAATCATTCCTAACAAGCTGGTAGGCGCTGACTCCAGTGCACCACTAGCTGTCTCTAGCTGTGTTCTGGGATTCACACACACAAGGCATGTAGGCAGAGCCATGCATAGCTGGATTCTAAGGATACCAGAAGTGACTATCGTAGACTAGAACTGAGAAGTTCTTCCTTTTTCTCTTGGCATTAACTATAAGTCACAGATTCTAACATGAAGGAGTGGGGAGCTGTTGGGGAACTTTGGAAGTTTATTCAGTTAAAGATTAAAATACTGCATTGTTTTAATGTTATTATAAATTCCTTTAAAAAGTGCAAAATTAGAGATTCACTTACTGGTTTTGTAATTATGCGAATTCAAATTTGGGGAGAGCATAATTTATTAAGGACAAAAAAATCTGGCTAAACAAAGGAACTCAGGATGTGGAAATGAACTTAGAAGGTGTCGAAGGTTCTCTCTCTGCTGTCTAGCATCAATCATTTTAGAATGTTTGAACATTTGAACAACCACTTTGTAATTCATTCTAGTTTTCTTGCAATGGCATTAAATGTTTTTATAAAGTGAGTGTTTTAGTCCATTCCCACACTGCTATAAAGAAATACCTGAAAGTGGTTAACTTATAAAGATTAGAGGTTTAATTAGCTGACAGTTCCACAGAATGTACAGTAAGCACGGCTGGGGGAACCTCAAGAAAGTCACAATTATGGCAGAAGGCAAAGGGGAAGCAGGCACATCTTACATGTCCTGAGCCAGAGGAAAAGAGGTGGCAGGAGGTGCCACACATTTTTAAACAACCACATTTCATGAGAACTCACTATCACGAGACCAGGAAGGGGGAATCTGCCCCCATGATCCAGTCACCTCCCACCAGGCCCCTCATCCAACATTAGGTATTACAACTTGAAATAAGATTTGGGCAGGGACATAAATCTAAACCACATCATTGGGACTTCTAAATTTTAGTTGTGTTTTCTTCAGGGTCAACTGGTGAAACTTTCTCCAATTATTCAATAAGTGGATCACCAATAATCTCCAGTTTTGAAGCTTTTAGCAAACTGTAATGATTGAACAAAAGCTTACAAGGAGAAAGCCATTAAAATGTATTCCACAAAAGCAAAGGAGGAACTGAACACATTAAGAGAATACAAATAGTGAAAACAATTTAATTTTTAAAATTTTGTTTTGTGATTTGTGATATACCAATTCATGAAAATGATTTTTTGATGGAGTTGCTATTTTTTAATTTGAAAATTTACATGCTGAAAAAAGT